>NC_000012.12:113975279-114126794 GCF_000001405.40 Homo sapiens | reverse complement strand
TAGTCTTATGGCACAACATTGTCCATGCTCACCTGGGACTCTTGCTGTTCCAGATCTGTTATTGGCCTCTTATCTAAATGGTTTTGGCTTACAGAAGGAAATGACTTGGAAATCACATGGGTACTAGGTGAGTTTAGTGCCCCAGGACCTATGCTTTAATGGAACTATTAGTGATGAGTTAACACTAACCTGGTTTAAATCAAATAATTCTTAATGAGCAGGAACTCAACCCAGAAACATTTTGCCCTTCCTAGGGAAGCTTAGTTATTGGTCAGTGAAGAATGTCACTTATCAATGCCATAGTAACCTGGTCAACAGATGGCATCTATTAGTCCTACGCAGACCAAGATAGGAGACGTCTAAGCATCAGTTATTCTCCTAGCCACCTCGTTGCATAAGCCAGGGATGTGATCAATTAGATCTCCCAAACTTGAGCCACTTAGTCAAGATCTCTGGCATTGTTTGATCACTAATCCTAGATTCTAGTGTCTAACTTGTATGATTAGGTGAGCTGACAACCAAGCTGAAAAGTTGCAATATGTCTATACTAAAAGTACATGCTAAGCAATTGTCAAATCTTGGGTGAACTATCTTCACTATAGCTAGAGCTGTCATGTAAAATAGCTTTTTAATCTGAGATCATGGTGTCATTCTGAGATCAGGTGCTTATGTGGGTATGACCAAGTTTCAAACAGGCAAAAACCACTTCTGCAGTGATGCTTCCTCCTTAATTGGGTACTTAAACTTCCTCCTTAAACCCTTAAGACTATCATGGCTTTCCTTGGTGACAGAAGCCAGATAGTATGGCCTTGCCACTTGCAGCAACCAAATGTAAATCTGAATCTCCCTTGACAAACTTAGGGCTATGTAGACAATTAACTACTCGAGTCAGGCTTCCCTCATTCTGCATGTTCTGATCTTAAAGCTTTGGTCTACATAAGCTCATAAACCCGAGGGCTAGCTCACAAACGTTTCATAAACCTTTCCTCAAATATGACCCTAGATTTGGAGAAGATGTAACAAATACCTATTAGGTATGAAACTGTCATCTGGGTCTCCTAGGCACCTGGACCATTGTTGGGCTCTTCTCCTGAACGTTGGGAGAAATGTCTCAAGGGAAGACTTGGGATAGGGCTAAGAATACCACCAGGGCTTTGTCTTCACTGGGTTTGAACTGTCCTCCATCATCCCTGGAAACCTTGGCAGCTTGTGAGCTTAAGCCTTGTGTGCACCTAAAAAATCGGACATGTGGAAAAAGCTCTTGAACAGGAAGTCCATGAAACAGTTAATTCTATGATGGACAACTCTAAGGTTAAAAAAAAAAACATCTCCTCAAATACTGAGTATCTGGAGCGGAAACTTCTCCATTTTTCTTAATATTGTGGCATCTCCAATGTTGCAAGCAGCCTTGTGGCCTTTCCTAGGTTTGGATTTTAACTTCATGAGCAAGTAATCACACTTGAGAGATACATGAGTTTCAATTCCTTCCAAGATAAACTCAGCTACCACCCTTGAGTATTCAGGTGGCATCTTTTACCTGGTGAGGGGGCTTAGACAATATACTAAGGACTCTCAATGTAAGAGTTCACTTCAGGTGGAAGGAACTGCATCTTTATCAGTTATTACTTGAAAAAGCTGTTTAAGCTACTGTCCGTTTGGTCTAGCCTCTTTCTCTGGACATCCTAGCTCCATGGAGAAGCCTGGGAGATCATGGGAAAGGCCAATATGATCTGCTTCAGGCTGGTTCATGCTGAACCATGTTAGAGGGGATCATGATTTGAGTATTTCAAGAATAAGAAACTTCTTGGTCTTACCTAATTCCCTTCATTGCTTTCGCACAACTCATGACCATCTTGTTAGAGAAATGTAGCTGTTCTTAATGGGGAGCCTGATTGCAGTTGGCATCTGAGCACAGGGAGGCTGAGGCTCAGAAGGGCAGATGGTAGCATCTGCCTGAGACTTTAGTATGGGAAACTGAACTTCAACTCCTATGGTACAGAGGGAAGGAAACTGGTTCAGGCCCACCGGACCAGTCACTTCCTAATCTGAAATCCTGAACTGGGCCCTCGGGGAAGCATTACTTGATAACTAAGGGCATGAATGTGGAAGTCTGTCTTGGAAGGAGAACAGGATGTCCATCTGTACTTCCTTAGGCATCGCTCTGGGTTCCACTGTTCTTGGTTCTTTCTTATTTGCTGTAGGATTGCCCCGGTATGCAGACTTGGGAGCCTCCTGTCTGCAGGGCAGGCTTCCTGATGGTGTCAGCACTGTTCTAGGTTGCAGATTCTACCTCCTTGTGGCTAGGGGAACATCCTATCATGACAACTGGGTCTCATCAGATGAACCTGATGTTCATGAAGTGACTCCTTGGTTAGCTGTTTGTTTAGGGCAAACATGTCATAAGTAACTTCCAGGTGGCTCTTAGAAGACTTTAGTGTTTCCTAATACAGAAGTATCCAGAGGCCTATCCAAGGTCCATGCAGGATGTCAGCATGAAATTCTTGCAATACCCAAGAGACTTTCCTCTAAGTGACATAAGACTACTCTGGACAGTAAGAAAAAATATATCTCTAGAGGCTTGTGCAAAACTGCAGCCCACAACATGTACTGGTCTCCTGGGTGACTTGGGAAAGGTAGTTGGTTTTAACCTTTTTAAAGCCTGTTACAGAAAACACTTACCCAGATAGAACAGTGGCCTTTGTCCTTGAAAGTATAACGCATATCCACCTGTGACCCATGGCAAGTCGTCTTGTTTGCCTCTACCTACTCCTATTCCTGCAGCATTTTGTAGCAAATATCCAACCCCACATTTCTTAGAAACATTGTAGTATGTATGATCAGAAAATTTAGAGATACAATACCTTAACCGTACTTACTTAAACTGGCTCCTTTATCACTAAATAACCATAAGTAGTCAAACTTCAAATTCAGGTGTCACAATCTTGCAAACTATCTAAACTAGGATCAAAATTCTACCCATACTTGTTGCTGGTTGATGTGACAAGTGTCCCCTAAATTGTAAGGTTTTTCACCCTGGCTACTTCTGTCTATGAAGGATGGCCCATATCCTGCAGATGTCCAAAGCTCAGGCTTCCTGTTGCTCTGTTCACATGCCTCAAATACTGATACTTCTCCCAGTTCCTAGAGAATAATGATCTCAGTCACTAATGCCTCTGCAGTTAGTCTGCCAGGTAAAAGCAAGAAATGTAGCTGACATGTTAAGGATAAACACTTAGCCGGGTGTGGTGGCGTGCACCTGTAGTCCCAGCTACTCGGGAGGCTAAAGAAGGAAGATCACTTGAGCCTGGGCTTGAGGCCGTCCTAAGCTATGATCATGCCATTGCACTCCAGCCTGGACAACAGCAAGACCCTGTCTGAAACTTGGAGTAACACAGGGACTCCATCTAGAACGCAGACAATGCTTTCCTATGTATCTGTGGCACTGAGTACTGAGATTAACATAGGATGAGTCACCAGTCATCACCTTTGCAAAACAATGAGTTAGTTGCAGGCTCTTCAGTTGTAGCTGTGAACTTGGCTGTAACCTCAGTGCCCTTCTGACTATCTCTCTTCCTTCCCTAGATCCTCAATACAGGAGGCTTACCATTAAATCTGACTCTTAATATTGAACACTTACTGGCTTTAGGTTAAGGGTGAGGAAAGTGCATGTGGAAACAGGAAAGCTCAGTCTCCCTTGACACTGACCTGATCAGGTACCTGATACCTCTCAGGTGAGCCCCTCTTCCAGCTGTGACCCCTGGGAGACACTTGTAGTATCACATACTATCTTGATCCAAATATTTCTGGAATCAAAAGACAAATAACAGCTGAGGATGCTCATGTAGGGTTTCTAATTTGTTTTCCTTCTTGAAGGTAATGTCTGAGTGGCCCTCAGAATGAAGTCCCTTCCACCTGGGGTCAGGTAGGCAGCCATTAGATTAGACTTCTTAGCCATCATAAGCTTTTCCAGAGGCATTGCTGAATTGCTCACCACTAGGGCTCTCCCTGAATGACCATCTCTGGATAATGGGGTGTTGCTTTAAAATATGAGTACTTAAATGCAATTACAACCAAATCTTTCCAGCATGGGTGGTAGTCACAAGTCTGAGCACCTCCATAAAGATCTCCATGTAGCTCATCAGAACCAGTTAGCAAAGGGTATTTTGCAATTAATTCAACCTTGCATCAAGTATACCATCTTATTTCTGTATCTACCATGGCTCTTCTTCATTTGCAACTTCTCAGAAATAATGAAAGGAACTCTTCTGTTCACAGCAGTCAAGATTCAAATACTAAACCTATATTCCAACTGCAGATCCCTGAAGACCTTTGGAGAGGTGGGAATCTGTAGAAGAGACAAGTAATTGAATGCTGGAATGTCCACCCCTCCCAATCATGCAGGACGAAGATCTCAAAGAATGGATGCTACATCAGACACTGCCTCTCCTCCTTGGTGGGGGGAGTACATTAGCTCAGGTACTAAAGTCCTTGTTAGCTTGTCAAGGCAAGGCAAACATAGGTGACACATCAGATGACTTTGACCTCAACGTGAGGCTGAGGATCTTTCAGTGAAATGAGAAGCACTTACAGGTTTTATTGCTTGCTTCTCTAACAATCACATAAAGAAGCCTCAAAGGCCAAACCGTGATAGAAGGCCTTGTCTCATTGCAGCCTCAGTTCAAAGGGAGAACCTTTCTCATTAAAGGCAAGGTCCACCTGGGCTTGTTTGAGCCCAGAGCAGGCTGTGAGGTGAGGCCTTTGCCCAAGGTGCCAACCCTGGCACTGCCAGAGTCTGATCTTGGCTCATCGTGATTATGTGCTCTGAGAATCAGATGATGGGGCCTTGAAATGCCACAGCTGCCCCACAGAGCCCCATGTATTCAAAATGCTTGGTCAATAAAAGGTCTGTCTTTTATTGTATTATCCATATGAAGGTGGTATAAACAAGGCACAGTGACTTCAATCGGGTGGGGTCTTCACCTCTAACTTGCAAGCACTTATGCCACCTACTAGAAAAGTAGGATCTTAGAAGGTCCATACCAGTTATTCCCACCTTGTGTCTCTTCCTGACCAGCTAATTATAAATACAGAATAACCTGTAAGACACAACCTGGAAGACACCCAGGATCCTTCTAAGAGGTGGATAGAACCCTTCTTGGCAGGAATCCCATGGAGGTCACGGGTAGCTCCTGGCATCCTGCCTAGAGGTGCATGCCAGGGTGTCCCACAGCTGAGGATGCTAAAATAGCCATATCATGAAGCTGAACAATGTCCCTTTGTCATGGTTGCTTCCCCTGCTTTATGGCTACTACATAAGTGAGATCCTTGATTCTTTTTCCTATTTTGCTAGATTCTGATATTGATGGGGCTTACAACCTAGAAATTTAATTCCAGAATCCAGTTCATACTTACAAAAGGCTGTCTAAAGATTTCCTTCCTGTACTCTTGATAAGCATCGTGGGCTCGGTGGCTCAGGTTCTGATGGCTAAAGAAGAATCTATGACTTGGCACTGGAGAGAATTCCTGGCCAAAGAACAGCAGCTATTAAATGTGTTCAAGATCAGAGCTAGATAAAGGCATCTAGTGAAATGCTACTCTCATAGCTCATATGGATGAGCTGGGTGTTTGGCCAGCTTCGATTTCCAAAACTGAGCCAGCCTTAATCGGGCTTCGGCATTGTCTGATCTTCTGTCTAGGCTCTCCCTTTGCCCTGTGGCATCAGGTATGGTGGCAACCACATCACAGTTGTACTAAGTGTCCATCCTGAGACTGGTTACGGAGAAACTGACTCTAAAAACCTAGTCAAACTCCTGTTGACCCTACAGGCCTAGATCTGAAAGGGCCATGGCTTTCTCTCCCCAGTCTGTACCTGGGCTTTGATTCTATGATCTGGCGTTCATATGCAGGAAAACTTGCTTTGCACTAGCAAGAACAAGTCTCGGTGACCTCAGCACTATTCCTCAGTAACATCAGGGAATTTCTCCATAGGAATAAGCTTCCCTCACATATGAAGCCATATAGGGTGAGGCTTCATATGGGTGTCCCTTTTCTGACTCAGCCTCAACCAATCGGTGACATCAGACACTATGTCATTCCTCAACTGCTATTCTTCAAAACCTTTATCTGGGTGAACTATGATGTATGAGCCAGAAATAATACCATCTTCTGTCTCTAGGGATCATATTACAGACAAGTACCTGTTTGCTATAGACAGCCTGGCATGTGTCCAGGTCCACTGGTTTCTTGGGTCACTTGGGCTCTTTTCTTGAACACCAGAACAACCTGCTCCTTAAGGAGAGAATTGGGATAGTGTGAAGACACCTGGGTTTCCACGTGGCTGGTACAGATGTGAACTCACAAGTCTTGACTACCCCCTTCAGTCCTCCTTGTTCATCCTTGGTGTCAGCTCCTGAAGCTGTATGTATTAGGTTGGTACAAAAGTAATTGCGAGTTTTGTGTCATTACTTTCAATGGCAAAACCCACAATTGCTTTTGTACCAACTTAATACCTAAACAACCAAGAGACTCAGTCCAGACATGTAATGGGATAGGAAGAGGTCCATGGGACACAGATCATCTTTCCACATTGAATTCCCAATACAGGAAGCCTGGGAACCTCTGTCTAAGTGTAGAGTTTCCTCTTCACATTGAAAGAGACTATGCCTTCTGTGTCTCTATAGTCAGACCTCCAAGGACACAAGCAGTCCTGTGGCTTTACCCACGTTTGGAGGTGGAACTGCTGAACTAATAGGTAATGACACAGCAGACACAGGTCTTCCATTCCCTGCAGGCCAGTGAATTCTCATCTGCTACCTTGGCCACTGAGACAGCCAAGAGTTCTCTAAAGAACGGGAACTGGGAGACAAAGTTGAGGGACTTGGAAAAAGAACTTGCCTCAGGGGAACAGAACTGCCTGTACTATGACCTAGGTTTTGACTTAACTGTAAAACTATTTTACATCCCAGGCTTCTCTCTTCCTTGATTCTTCCTGGCTCCTGGAGGAAGCCTTGGAAGCCTGATGGGAGGCTAAGAAGGAACTTCTAGGCCAATCAAAACTGGATCGTGAGTGGGAGTTTATGGCTCATGACAGTCGGCCTAAAGTGTAGGGAATGAAGCATCTTACATTCCTCTCCCTGCTTGTCAACTCCTGACCATCTTGTCAAAAACACAGCTGTGTGCTCAGTAAAGAGGCCAATGAGGAACTGCACTTGGCATCTGAGTGCAAGCAGAGGTAGTGTCTGCCTGAGACCCCAGCAGGGGAAACTCAGCCTCAGGCCCTGGAGTCCAAAAAAATGCTGCAGACTCATCCGACTGGTTCAGGAGGATCTCTTTGCAGCTCCCTCAGAGAAAATCTGAACTCCTTCCATAGGTAAGAGTTAGCAACTAGGGGAGTGAATGTAGAAATCTGTCACAGGAGTGCAGGGCTCCAGTGTACACTTCCTAGGGTGTCCTTGTGGGTGCTGTTGCTTCTTGGTTCTTCACCTGGACTCTGGAGTCTCACTGGGTGGTAAGTAGCCTTCAAGGAAACTTTCCAGTTTTATCAGGCAAGCAGCTTCTTTGTGTCAGCACTGTCCTGGATTAGATTCCCTACCCCTGTTGGATGGGTGAATACCTCTTCACAGCCACTGTTGCTTGTGTCAATGGACCTGGTGCTGAATGTCAGTGAAGCACTCATCCTAGGTTTGACACTGCTGCTCCCAATGTAAATGCAGACTTTTTGTAATGAGTGGGAACCTCTAGCTGGCCCTTTGGGTACTGATTAGCAAAACCTTCAGAATAATGGAATATATTCATGTAGAAAATATTCTACGTGAAATTCTTTTTACATCCAAGATTTTCCTTCCCTTGAACCAAGTGACATGATGGACTAGTCAGCACCATAAGACAGTAAGACATCCCTGGGGACTTGATAAAACTGCGTGGGCTACAGGGCACACTGGTCTTTTGAGTGGCTTGGAAGGGGTCTCTAGTTAGCTCTTAACCTGTTACAGAAAAAGCCAGAACAATAGCTTTAGCCTTCAAGCATGACCCATGTTCTACAACTGACTCAGGCAAGTCTTACATGCATCCACCCACTCCCATTCCGGCGGCATTTTTGCAAACTCCTGACCTCAAATTTCTTAGGAACACATCATATGCATGTGTGATGTTTCGAGTTACTGAAAGACAGCACATTGATGAAAATAACTGAGAACCCCATTATCACTAAACCTATGGGTCCTCAAACTTCCAATTCTCAAGCATCAGAACTCTTGACTACACAAATGAGGATCCAAGTGTCATAACATTTGTGGCTAGTCAGTATCACAAGTGTCCTTTAAATCATAGGGGTTTTCGTTTATCCCAGTCCTATTCCTTCTATGAAGGGTGGTTAACAGCGTGCAGATATGCACAGCTCAGAGGCTTCCTGCTCCTCTGTTGACATGTCCTTCTAAAAGTTCTGTCTCCCAGCCATGAATAATGGAGGATGAATACTGCCTCATACTATTTCCTCCAACCTCCTGAGAAGTATGTGATCTTAATTACCACTTAATGCTTCTGTGGCTATTCTACCAAGGCAAAGTGAGAGAAGTAGCTGACATGTAAAATATGAACTAAAGATTGGAAGCCTTGCAATGAAACAAAGTTCTCAATAGGCTTTTCTAGTCTGTCCTTAGCTTTTCTAAGAATTCTAGAAGGTAAAGCCAGGTGAGAGCAAAAAGTCTGCTGTCCTGATGTGGGTTCAGCTCAGAGGAGGGCCTCACTCTTCAAGGGCCATCTAGGCTGGCTTCTGAGCCCAGAGCAGGCAGGCAGAGGAGGCCTATGGCAGTGCTAGGGTTTGTGTATTGGCCAGAGGCGTCTGGTTTCTGTCACTTTGTGGTCTGAGTCAGTGGATAATGGAGCCTTGGGACACATATCCCAATTGCCCCATGGGCCCCCTGTTTGACTTTATTGGTCAGTAAAGTGTCTCTGTTCCCATTGTTCTGTACACATAAGATGTTGTAAATGGGGGACACTGATTTCAGGTAGAGTCTTGATCTTCATGACCCCTAAGCATTTCTGCCACCTACCAGGAAGGTAGGATCTTAGAGGTGGTCTGTACTAGCTCTCCCAACCATGTCTTTACATTTTTATGACCAGTTAACCCAGAATGGTGGATAACCTTCAGGACTCTGACCCTGGACTCCTCAGTGGTTCCTTGAGTGCAGGCCCTGGTAGAATGCTTTTTGGCAAGAAGTCAGTGAAGATGAGGAGCTCTCGGGTGTCCTCTCTGGAGGTGCATATGGGGGTGTCGGCACTGCTGGGGATGCTGCCTGGTGATCACCTTTCCTCTATCATGGTTCTTCTCCCTGTTTTGTGTCTACTGAGGGGGATAAATGTATGAGATCCTTGGTTTCCTATCTACTTCACTGACGTATGGAATCTAAAATCATCCACCTACAAACCCCATCCATAGATGTTAGAAAAACTTAATCTCCACTTACAAAGAAAATTTTTAGGTTTCTTCTATTCCTGGAAAGCACTATAGACTTGTAAATCGTTTTCAGTGTGTTGTGATTTTTGACTTCTAAATTAGCCTATATTTGGCAGATGTTCCCTTAACTGGAACTTGGTGACCTTGATCTGAAACCCTATACATTTCATTGCTTTAGGGTGAAACATCCATGCTTATCTAGCATTTTTCCTTCCCTGGAGGATAAATTAGCCCCTTGCCTAAAAGACATTTTATTACACTTAATGGAGCATTCAAAGAATACATAAATGCTAGCTGAGTTCACTGTTCCAGACAGTAAGTTTGCCCTTTTATTGTAATATTTTATATTTTTACTAAAACTTTGTTTCCCTAAGAAGTAAATATTCTTATCCAAGAGTGAAAGTTCTGAGCAACACTTGTCATGTTCCTGCAGAACCAATGGTTCTGTCACTTCCCAGGAAGCTTGAGGACTGAAGCCCAAGAGGGAAGACTCTTACTGTCCTGACCTCAGATTGTGGTATTGGCAGTTGTTATACTTAAGGGCAGATGCTGAATGTGTTCATGACAAAATGAGGGCATCTAGTGAAACAATCATTCCTACCATTTCCATGGATGAGCCTGGGAATTGCCCAGCCAGGGTTTCCTAAACTGTATCAGCCTTAGGTAAGGCTCTAGCACCAATGCTTGACCCCTTAGTTCAGGTTCTAGTGTTAACCTGTAACCTCAGGTGAGGTGACCGTACCAGAGCATCCATCCTGAGTGTGGTCTCTTGGACGGACATTCACATTCCAGCCAAAATCTCTAGTAATGGACTCTGTAGGTATAGATCTGAAAGGGACATGGCCTTCTCAGACTGAGATGATTCTAAAACCTGGTACTGATATCTTCCCAGCTGGAATCTGCTCCTGTAGGCATGTCAGTGACCTTAACTCTAACTCTAGGTAAAACTTATGGAATTTCTCCCTGAAAGTGTTACAGTTCTCAAGTACAAGCCCATATGTAGGGGGGAAATCTTGAGGGTTCCTTACCTGAGTTGAGCTCATGATTTCTTCAACTGTTCATAATATTCCACCACTTATGTCTCTTCCTCACCTTCTCATCTTAACCTCATTTGGGTGAGCTCACAGCAACTTCAGAGCTGGAAACAAGATGCTTAACATGCCCCTGGCAACTGATCCAGGTATAGACCTGTGCTTGTGTATTGCTCAAGTGAGTATGACATCTTCTATGTCTGGTATCTGGGGCTGCCATCTCCTGAATGTTGGGAGAACCTGCTTGTGGAGACCACGGGATGGAATAGAGGATACCCGAGGCTTTGATTCTCCAGCTGCTCACATGTGTGCTTGCTGGGCTTGACTGGCCCTACACTATCCTTGATGCACATCCTTGGGGACTCAGATTCTGGTGTAGTTCAAGCTCTGTGTGCACCCAAGGAATCAGTTGTTCCAGAAAAGGAATGGAACAGGAGGTCTAAGACCACTGGAACTATCCTTCCACATGGAATCCCTGTTTGGGAAGAGAACCTAGGAACATGGATGCCCACAGGTTGAGGGTTCCTATCCCACTGACCGAACTCTGCCTACCTTTCTTGAGTCATCTTGTGACCTCTCCAAGGTATAAGCCATCTCATAGCCTTTCCTAGACTTGGAGTGAAAGCTCCTGACTGACGTCTGAGGTACATGCAGGTTCCGACTTATTGCCAGACAGATCAAGCTAAGCTACCACTCTTGGACACTGACATGTTATTTCCTTTCTCATGTAACTGGGAAGGAGGCTCTGGGAGACACAATACTGGGGCTTAGAAGGACTTGGACAACAAGGGTTCATCTTGGGTAGAAGGAAGTATACACCTATTATGTTCTAGGCTTTGACTCAGAACAGCTGTTAAAGCTACTTTTACACACTTCTCCAGGTTCTTGCTCATTATTGGTCCTCTTAGCTCTGTCAGAAGCCTGGGAAAGGCCAAAAAAAGCTTGCTTAGGAGGAACCATGCTGCTCCAGGTTGGAGGAAGTCATGACTTATGGTTCTTGGTATACTACTAGAAGGGTAAGCAGTGAACACTTACTGCATTTACACAAATTCCCGCATCTAGTTTCTCCCTGCAGACTAAAATCCTGAACATGTCTTCAGAGAAATGCAGATCTATCAATGCCGAACCTGGCAAAGAAACTGCCCTTGGCATCTGGGGACAAGAAGGCTGAGGCTCATGGCAGGGAGTAGCATCTGAGACTCCAACATGGTAAACTGAACCTCAGGACCCCAACGGTGTGGAGGGAAAGATGCAGCCACAGGCTCATTTAACTTGTCCCCCGCCCCTTACAGTTTTGTGAGAATCTCAACATGTTTCTCAGATGAAGTACTTTGACAACTGGGGGTATGATGGAAATCTGTTTTGGCAGGATACGTTTTCCTTTATAGGTTAACAGCAGATTTAATCAGCAGAAATCTCACAAGCCAGAAGGAATTGGGGCCCCATCTTTAACCTCCTGAAACAAAATAATTGTCAGCCAAGAATTTTGTATCCAGCAAAACTAAGCTTCATAAAAGAATGAGTCGTCTTCAGACAAATGCTGAGAGAATTCACCACTATCAAGCCAGCACTACCAAAAGAAAAAAAAATCCTACCCTATACCTAGGAAAGGCCACAAAGCTGCTTCTGATCTTGGAGATGCCACAAGAAGATTCCAGAGAAAAGCGAGGCAGAGTTCTGCCAATAGAGTAGTATCACTCAACCTTGGAACTAAGGGGATCCCTAGAGGACTAGACACTCCCAGGCTCTTACCAAATGAGAATGATGCTTGTGGCAAGTATAGGTTTTTTGTTCCCTCTAAGGCCAGAGAAGTCTCAGCCATTACCTTGGCTATCAGGCAGGTAAGGGTTTTCTGTTCCTGAAGATGGGGAGCTGGGAGACAATATTTAAGTTGACAGGGACTTGTAGCAAGAGTTTACTTAGCTGGAACAAGCATGTATTATCTAGGTTTTGACTTAATCTGGTAAAGCTGCTATTATATGCTTTTTCTGGCTTATCCCTTTCTTGGTCTTCCTGGCTCCATGGTGGGAGGCTGGGAGCCTCAGAGAAGAAACCAGTAAGCTTTCTCAGGTAAGACAGAAGCTATACAGGTTAGAGGGGGTCATGATTTCTCAGTCTAGTTATTAGAAGTGTAAGTGATAGAACTTTACATCCTCAAATCCCTGCTTACTAAATCCTGACTGTAGTTTGAGCAAATTGCAGCTATGCTCCAAATGAAGAGGCTAGGGAGGAACTATGCTTGGCATCTTTGCATAGGGAGGCTGAGGCTTAGAAGGGCAGAGGGAAGTAAGCATCTCCCTGAGATCCCAACCGGGGAAACTGAACCCTAGATCCCACGGTACAGAGAAGAGCAGTTGCAGGGTCACCTGACCAGTCGCCTGGGGTTCCTCTTCCAGTTCCTCAGAAATTCTGAACTCTCTTCTTGGGTAAAGATCTGACAACTGGGAGCATAAACATGGAAATCTGTCTTGGAATGCAGAGCTCTTGGAATGGGTGCCATTGTTCCTTGGTGAGTTCTCCCTGACCTTAACTCTCACATCTACCTGCAGGTACAGACTTGGTAGGAGCCTCCTGCCATGTGGGACAGGCCTATTTCTGGTGTCTGCACTGGTGCTGAGTTGTAAGTTCCCCCCTGGTTAGGGGAACACTGTCATTGTCACTGGGTTACATCAATTAGAAAATGACCCAATGGTGAATGTTACTGAAGTCACCATTCTTGGTTTATGTCAACTACCCTATGCATATACAGACCCCCTCATGATTAGCAGGGACCTTGTGTTGATATAATGGAAACTTTCTATTAAAAAACACATAAGACATTTAGAATTCTGATCAATATAATCTTTTCATATAGAAAGGAAACTTAGTTGTGACAACAAATAATTATGGCTGGACCACATGGCATGTGCCTCTAGAGATGTACTAGTCCGTTTTCACATTGCTGATACACATACCCGAGACTGAGTAATCTGCAAAGAAAAAGAGATTTAATTGACTCACAGTTCCACATGGCTGGGGAGGCCTCACAATCATGGTGGGAGGCAAGGAGGAATAAAGGCATGTCTTACACGAAAGCAGGCAAGAGGAGAATGAGAGCCAAATGAAGCAGGGGAAACCCCTTATAAAACCAGCAGATCTTATGAGAACTCACTGTCATGAGAACGGTATAGGGGAAACTGACCCCATGATTCAAATATCTCTACCTGGTTCCACTCGACACGTGGGGTTATTACAATTCAAGGTGAGGTTTGTGTGGGGACACAGACAAACCATATCAAATGCCTTTACAAAAGTACCCAACGCTATCTGGAAGTATGAAGACAGACCCAGGCAAGTGTTCCACATTGTACTGTATAAGCCCCCTGACCTAAGTATCCTCGCAAAGTCTCAATCTTTCATTGGTTTATTCAAGGAAATTCCCCATCATGCATTACTCTGAAGTAAACAATTTGTATGCATGCTCATGAACAGAGTCATGCTGAGTTCTACTTTCCCAAGGCAATGAAAATCTTGATAGTGAACCTTATCCCATGAAACTGTCAAAAATTGCTTAAATCCACTTGGTCTCTGAAATGGCCCTAAGGTCATACAGTAAGAATTAATCTAAAACTTAAGAACTTGGTTCAAATACCACAAACTCAAGATCTACACCTGCTTTTCAGCTCAGCTCAGTGTGAGAAAATACACTCCAACATGAGACAGCCAAGAGCAAGGGACTCCCCTGCACCCACCCAGCTCCCATTTGGAGGGCTACTTTTCATGGAGGGGCAGAACATAAGGATTTCTTGTCCTGCCTCTAGCCTACCTGTTGCTGAGGCTAATCCCATGTGTGCTTGGCTGGAAGGTAGGGCTCTTGTCTTCTATCCAGCTCCCATTTATGGGATAGAGGCTCTATCTTGGGCTAGGTGTTAAGAATACTAGGGCTCACAATGCAGGGGTTTCACACAGAGGCAAGCTGAGGAAACCTGGAGTTGCTCTTCACCTTTCATCAAGGTCTCCTAAAAAGGGGTGTCTAGGCTTCCCATTGTTATCCCTAGCACTAGTCACAGCTTGCATTTTTCCTTAGTGTGGAGAGAAATAGAACAGAGCTCCAAATCCCTCCTCAAAAGAACTGACTTCATATGCAGTGGTGTGGAGAAGTTCAGGCCAAAGGGCACTCGCAAGCACTACAGAGGCTATGGGAAAAGGGGCATTAAACACTAATAGCTTCATTGAAGATAGAGGCTAACCTGGAGGGCTATCTCTGAGAAAACCAGAAGACAGCTGATAGAAGCCCTCTTGGGGTGGGAACTTGTTTCAAACACTGCATGTAGATAACTAGAAGACAGATCAATCATGCTTTGAAGCAAGGTGGGTTTAGGTACTTGATCAAGTTTTGAATAAACCCAACCAGTTGCATCTCCAAGGAGATGTCTACTACCAACTGACCATCTTGATTCACATTAAGTCAAGAACTCAGAAGAGGTAGAAAAACTGAGGTTGCTGCTATAGGATTTCTGGTCTTGTCCCCTTGCTTACACCTATGCTTATCAAGCCTTTGGAGTAAAGGTTTTGGCTCAACCCCTAGAAGCCAATAGGTAGAGGCCATAAGTTCTTGTTACTGTTGTAAGCTTTCCAGAGGCATTGTTAATCTGTTTACCATTCCAGCTTTCCTGAATGTCTCTTGCCCATCTCTTACAAGGGTTACAAAGGGAAGACTTTGGAAAAACATTTGTCTTCATAGTCTTCACCAAATCTATTTCTATTGGCTCTCAAATAAGCTGACATAAACTTCTTAAATGCCTGTGCTTCATGATGGGGAAGCAGACTGGTTGGCCATGGAAGCTTTGGGATTAGAGAAACTTGACACTAAGGAAGAACAACTTTGTTTTCTGATGGTCTTGGTGCCTCCTGGAAAAGGAGATCAAGGACTCTTTATCCGGTTTACATTTCTTAGCCCTATTATCCTGATGTACCAGCTTATGGATTCTTGGAGATCAGTAAGTGGATTACTCTGGAATGAAAGAAGCAGGGAAATGCTGGAATGTCCCCTTCTCTGAAGATGAAGAAACTTCTCTTGTGGGACCTCTAAGAACAGCTAGCATGAGCCCCGATTCTTCTAGTCCTTCCAAATTTATGGTAGTGCAGTTGCTATCTAATGCTTTTGTGATTACCAGGCCAAAGAATAATGTGAACTAGAGCTGACTTCACATGAAATGGACTAGCTTCATGATCTGAGTTTAGGAGCATTACAGCAAAACTAGAAGCACTCAATAGGCTTCTTTAGTTATCTCTCCAGAAATAAATGAAGTAGCAGCTTGGAAGGTAAGATGTTAATAGAAAGCAGCTTTCTTAATGGACCACTATTTCAACTGGGTACCCTTCACGTTTATTAAACTAAGTGTACCTGGACTTGTTTCTGAGCCCAGAAGAAAGTCTGAAGCTTGTGGCCAGTGCCAGATTTTCAGCAATTGATGGGAAGTGTCCAGTTTCTCACTTCATGGTCATCACTAACTCCATCTGCATGACAGCTTGGGCTGCCTTGTAAATCTCTCCCATCAAAACGTCCCCATCACTAAAGGTGCTGAATACCACCTGTGAACTTGCCTTTCTCCATATGTTCTGACAATCAGTCCCACAGGGAGAGTGTAGTATAGATAGCATTTTCTTTTGAGTGGTGTCATGTCCAAGCACTTCTACAGGTCTAGAAGGTAGGACCTTAATATTTACACTAGCCCCTTCCATGCTTCTGTCACATTCTTATGACCGACTAATCCAGAATGTGCATTAACTAAAGATGACTAACCTGGACTTTTCAAAGTTACTGGTGGTTCTTGACTTCTTGGTAACATCCCTCACGGGGAGTGGGTGTTTCTTAAGGCATCATCTAGAGACACAGCAGAAGCCCCACTATTGATGAAACAGAGGTTGATAACATAGTTGAACTCCTATCCTTTGGAAAGCTGGCTTTTTCCTTTGGTTATGTCTGGGATGAATCTTGATCCTATGGTTTACCTAGTATTTTACCTATTTTCTATAATATCGAAGCTACTTTTAAGTAAAATTTACTTAACCAGACTTAGATATTGTCATCTTCAAGAAGGCTGGAAGTCCTTAATCCTAGCCAAACATGGCTTCAGGAAAGACTAATGCCAAAGTATATGCTTGGCATGAATATGGATATCTGTCTTAAGGAGGGCAGGGCTCCAATCTACATTTCCTTGGGCATCCTTTGCATGCTATTCCTCAGCAAGTCATCCCTCACATTGACTCCAGAATCTATCTGCATGTGCAGACTTGGTATAAGCTTCCATCCAGGCTTCATTGGGCAGGCCCCTTGATGGTATCAGCACTGTCCTGGGTTGCAGCTTTCCCCTCCCATTGAGTTAGGGGAATGCTCTGTCACTGCCATGGGGTCACTTGTACTAGAATTCTAATAGTGAATGTCAAAGTGAACAAATTTGGTGTCAACTTCCCTGATATTGACTCAGTGTCAAGCACAAGGGCCTCCAATTGGCCTATGGATATCCTTTTAGCCAAAATGAAAACAAAAGCATTCAGATCTTCTCAAGGTGAGATTTCAGTAGAATAAGTTCTGCAACTCCCTAGAAATTCTTCTCCTTGAACCAAGGAATGAAACAGCTGTCTGCAGTCCCCTAGAATGTTTACCTTTCCTGTAGTCCCTGAATCTATGTAAACCAAAACTGTCCTGGCCTTTCAGGTGGCCTGGAAGCTTTGTTTAAACTTAAGTCCTCAGACATGTCAAACTAGACAGTAGCTCTAACTTTCAAATGCCCACAGCCAGCAATTACCATTCGTGGCTAGTCTTGTTTCATATGTGCCCCCATCTACTTTCCCTGAGTCATTTGAAGCCAATGTTAGCCCTCAACCTACTCAGATATCTCTAAAGGGTTTTTAGCCATCATGTAATACTTCAATACCTAAAAAGAAGCTTAACCAGTTTATCACTAGATATAACCCATCAGTTTCCAAACTTCAGATTCCAAGTGTCATACATGTCTTGACTTTTTATTTGAATCCTGATTCAAATCAAGTCAAATCCTGATTCAAATAACCTTAAAACATAGTTGGTTGTTACCTGTTTTTCCTCATGCTACCTTATCTAGTAAGTTGCTATGTCTTAAACTGCAGGTTTCTTTTTCTTCCCATCACATACTTCTCAAAAAGGTGGCTGGCTGTTCCACAGATTTGTCCCACTTTGTATATCTTATTGCATGCCCATGCTATCATTTACGTTTATTCTACTTAACCTTTCATTTACACTTGCAGAATAAACAGGTATATCTTTTCTCTAACTTTCCTTCTGAGAGTGCCTTTATCCTGGGTCCTGGAGCAGGAGCCACTATGGGGGGTATCAAGTCAGAACCCAGAGAAGGTAAAGTTGCTTATTCTCCCATGTCTGTGTGGCACTGAGCATCAGGCTTAGGATAAGGACCCATCAGTCACTGGGGCCAACTCTGAACAGATTTGACCTTGTTGAAGATGCTGCAGTGGCAACTGAATCTGGTTGTAGCCTCACCTGAGTGCCCTCGTGGCTACTTCTATGAGGTTCCTTCTCTATGGACTCTTATCACTAAATCGGATTTCTGGACGTTGACAGCATAAATGTTGTCCTTAGTTTGGGGAGTGAGGGACTGCATGTGGGTAACTTCTACAGAAATCTCTTTCCCTTGTTGCTGGGTTGGTCTGGTTACCTGAAAGGTTTTAGGTGAACCAATAACTATCTCCGTGGAGACCTATATCATGTAACGCAGGCCATCTTGAGCCACATACTGACTTAACCTCTCGGGCCACTACTGTAGGACTTCAGAACTTTTGCCTTTTCTTGAAGGCAATGTCTTGCAGACCTTTGGACTGAAGGGTTCACAAGAAACTTGGTGAAGGATTAAACCAAGAATTCTTGCTGTGTCTTAAGCCTTTCTAGAGGCATTGCTGAACTACTCTTAAGTTTCTTCCTGAATGACTTTCTTACCCATCTCTAACATGGCGAGGGATTACTTTGAGGACATACATTGGCAATCTCTACATCTGCCTGTCTGTTGGTCTCAACGAACATAGCTGACGCCATCTCTCCAAACACCTTGTTGACTCATGGGGAGGCAGACTAGTTGGCTATGGGGATTATAGAACTAGAAACCTAACACTTCAAGCAGTCTTGTCTTATGGTCCTAGAGCTACATGAAGGGAGACAGAATTATTCTTTTAGCTTAAGTATCATAAAGGCCCAGTTTTCCTAAAGTGCTCAGTGTAATTTCCTAAACACGAATTAGGGTTGGTCTTATAGAAGGATCCAAGGAAACTTTGGAAGGTCCACTTGGCCCAGTGATGGAGGAAGGCAAAAGTCTAAAACAACTGCATGAGCCACATTTTGATTTCTTCTGTCCTTTGAAATACTTTGAACTCCAGTCTTCTTACAGGATGCGTCTGGGGATACACTTTCTATCATAATGAGAATGTAGCTCACATATTGGATAAAGTAGTATTCCCTGATGTGGTTAGAAATCTTGCAATGAAATTAAAAGCATGTTTTCCTAAATTAAGAAACTCAAGTAGCATCCTAGAAAGCAATATGCCAATAGAAGGGTTGCTATCACTTACTTTTTTCAGGTCTGCTTTAATAACCAGTGCCATCAGAAAATAACCAGTCTTTACTCCCTTGTCAGTAACATGTTCAAGTCGAACATTTCTAAACTTTTTTTGTATACAAGTACAGGTGTCTTTTACACTACAGCCATGGGGCTCAGGTGGCTGCTATAGATATGACCAGTGTCTACCTCTCCAGAATAAGCAGGGCACAGGAAACCCTTAAGTGGTAATGAGGGAATAGCAGACCCAAATAGCCAACTTTTAAGGACCACCTTCCGGATCCTCACTCAAAAGGAGATCCTTATGTCTAACCAGATTACTCACCTCAATCCTGGCTCTCGGTGAGTAGGATGGTTTTCTCTAGAAAAGCACATTGCTATGTGTGGATGACCTGTTTTTATACTTAATAAAAACCTAAACGAAAAACCAACCAATAAGATTTTTTTAGGATAGAGATCAACCAGCTTATACTCTGAACTTTGCCTTCAGGCAAGGACATTGATAGGACTTTTTAGACCTCAGAAGCATTTTAGACCTTAGAAGCAGGCCTCAAAACAATCTCATTCTCCTACTGCCTTTTCATTGCCTTTCTCTCCCCACGGCAGGAATCTTCCCCTGCCTTCCTGTCTTGGAGCTAGCGATAAAAGGAATTATCAGACCTTATTGTCTGATTTCTAGGCCACAAGACCCCATCTGAGAAAAGGGGTCCTGCCCCACACTTTGGAGGGAAGGAATGCTACAGAGATGTTGGGAAGAATTGGAAGAGTTAGGCCTTGCTGAGTTTCCCTGTTCAGATAATCTTTATCCAATCACATTTCTACATGGTTGTCAGTCACAGCCATCTCATGTCTCCATGAAAGGTCCAAGAGGACCAGATCTGGGGAGCTTTTAGACAGCTGAACATGTGGAGTTCCCTGGAAGGTGGCCCAGGGAAGGCATGGCAGCTTCATACCTCTTCTGCCATATTTAGCCTATGTGTGTCTGTTTCCTTTGTAATCTTTATAAAACAAACATAAGTTTTGCTGAGTTCCCCAAGCTGCTCTACCAAATTCACTGAATCCAATTCATGGTAGATCCCAATTGAATGCTAATCAGGAGTTCTGAAGGCCCAGACTTCTGCCTGGTGGGGAGAGGGGGGCAGTCCTGTGGGATTGAGCTTTCAATCTGGATGGGATGCTAACTCCAGGTGGATAGTGTCAATTTAAATTGGATCCTCAGCTGATATCCACTGCAGGACTGACTACTTGTTGGAGAAACCCCTACACTCTTGGTTACAGAAGTCTTCTGGGATAAGTATTGAATAGAAGTGTTTTCCCCAACAGAGGCACTTAGACTCAAGCATGGGAAACAGTAAGAGACCAAGGACATTTTCTTCAATCTCTAGTTCTCCTTTTCCTTTAACCAACTTTCTACTTTAACCAACTTTCCAAGATAAATCCTAACCTAACCATCAGACCTTCCCCTTTCATCAATCTTAAAGAAAAATCCTCCAGATATACTTCTCTGGATAGCTACATCTGTTGGGCAAACATACCTGATTCCATGGAATCAGGGGTCACTTTTTTTCACCCCCATCACTAAAAATCACTAGAAAGCTTCAGTGATTAGAGGAAAAAGTGAACATTACATTAAAACATGTTCTCTCCATCCTGGCCAGCTAAAGCAGGAGTTAATAACTGGGTATGAAAAACAGACCTTGACGTTCTACCTTTTACCTAACAGCTACTAGGACAATGGGAGAGTTGAGAGTAGGATGAAGTGGGAAGACTTTGAAAGGTAAGGTGTGGTCCACTCAGCTTCCGTATTGGAAGAGTTCAATGCTGGCATCATTGATGTGTAAATGAGGGCTTCTGTCACTGAAGAGCTCACAGATGTGACCACAGATGGTCTTCAGTTAACATTCTCCTGGTCAATGGCCCAGGGAAGGGGGACGCAGGCCCCATGGGTGACCATGCCAGCAGGGAAGTTAATGGCTGCGGGTTTTGTGAATCTGGCTAGGCATTTGGTATTGTCCAGGACCACCTTGGGATCATAAACCTGAATCTGGCCACTGATATCAGTGGCTTAGTCTTTCAATGGCTGCCTCAATGTACTTCAACCTTCTCTTGCATGGCCTTGGTGCTGAAGTTGGGATGACCTCCTGCACTATTCTAGTTACCAAGAATAACCACCTTTGATCCTAATCTATTGCTCCAAAGTCTTCACACAATGCAAGATGAAATGGACTACCCTGAGAGGATCTCACTATGTAATTGTTCCACATTTCTCTATCAAATTCCCACTGGGCTTTCATGACCTTGGCATGCATCCTCATGCCCATATATAAATAGACTTGGTAGTGAGCCTCCTTGATATTCTTGTGGTAGTACGTCTACTTTTGCACTGCAGCAATATGAACCTTGGGACCCAGGGAATTCATTGGAAGGCAAACTGAAGGGATGCCCATCTGCTATAAGAAATATATTCCTGTTGCATTCCAAATCAGGGATGCTGGTTGTTCACCATGTCTTTACCTATTTACAGGCGTGTCTTAAACTGACCTTTCATAGGTTTTGGGGTATACTTAGACTTCACAGAACACCAGCTGGCTAGGGTCCTTGTAGGAAGAGTCCCAAAATGGCAGCAGGGATGAGATGTCACTGTTACAGGCTTCAGATTGAAAAGCACTAGAGCCATCAACTCCACTCACTGTACACACTTGGGCCTGCTGTCCTGGGGGTGGACCTCATAGCATGATCCTCTTCTGATGCCATCAATCCAAACATACATGGCTTGGACTTTCCCACTGTCTTAGTCCATTTTGGCTGCTATAACAGGATGTTTCAGACCGGGTGACTTAGGACAACTTCTCATACAGTTCTGAAGGCTAGGAAATCCGATGCTAAGGAATCAGATTCAATTGTATAAGGGCTGCTCTGATTCCAAGATGGTGCCTTGTTGCTGTGTCCTCACTCAGTGGACAGAGCAAAAGAGCCAAATCTTCTATGAAGCCCCACTCATGAGGGCCTGAGCCCCCACTGCCAAATTGCCTGTTAAAGTCTTCACCCTTAATACTATCACACACTGTCTTTAAGTTTCAATACCCAAATCTTAAAGGGGACACAAACCACAGCACCCACCCTGAATCAGGAACTTGTTTCTTGTTTGACCCCTCTGTTCAAGTGGGAACTTGAGGTGGCCATGGTGGAAGGTGTTCTAGATGGCAAAAGTGAGAAGCAGCCTGGTATGCTCCTCAGTACTCTACTTCCCTCCCATCTTTAGCTCTAGAAGGGCCACTATCTAATGAAGCTGCCTTCTACCATGTCTCATCTAAGTGCCTTTCTCAAAAGCAAGGTTCATTTGGGAGTATTCCTGTGTCTAGAGCAGACAGGTAAAGTCTAGGGCAGTACCTACTTTTCACTGATTGGCAGGAAGGGTCTGGTCTTGTTACTACTTGATCACCAGCTCTGAGACAGCTGTTCTTTAGGGCACCTATATTGAGGAGTGTCATGCTCATTAGGAGACACAATAGACTCATGGGGAAAGGTAACCTTCAGGTTGTATGAGGTTTATGAGGGGGTGTTAGGTCAACTGTGGCATCTGCTTGCAGGTGGGGGTCTCCACCTTGGTCCCTTCTAAGGCTTGAGGCTACATGTATGGATTGGAAAGCAGGATCTTAAAGGAGACTGATAAAATACTCCCCCTACACGGTTTTTTCTAAGACTTAAGTTTTTGAAGAATCCAAAGGCATATCAACTTGACTTACTGAAATTGTCTCCTTGTTTTGTTTGAGTTTATCCAACACCTATATAGTACTCCTATCAGAGGGCCTTTCTAGAAGCAATGCATCAGGTTATCTTGTCATAAGTTATACCAAATTTTGTTAGGGAGGAACACTTTCAAGCCGGCTGTGCTCTCAATGTTTCTCTTCAAGCACTTTTCTCATAATTTTATTCACCTTAGACTACCATTTTTTGAAGCTGTCCTGGTTCCTTTATATAAGAGAATAACTTTTGGAAATGAGGACCTTAATGCTAAATATAATAGAAAGCTCTATAATTCTGTTCAAAATGCACATTGTCAATAGCAGAAAACCAGAAATACATGAAAAAGGTAGTTCTTAGCTATGGTGAAGGAAACCTGCATCAAGTCTTTCCAATCTTTGTAATCTTCAGTTCCAAGTATCACATCAAATATTGTTGGCTGATGGAAAGGGATCTGGCTGTCATTAGGCTGACAGAAGTCTTAGGACCTGGAGAAGATGCCAGCTCCAAGATACGTTTGTGGTAATCATGACAAGGTGACAAATTCCAGGAATATGATCAGGTATTCCTTCTGCAGCCTCCTGGAATGGTCCAGGAATTTTCCCAGCATTCATTTAAGCTGAGTAATCCTGAGCAGAGAACTCCATCCTGCAGTGTTTTGGCTTCCAATTCCAGCCTCAAATGTCACCTAAAGTGATAAGGCAAAAGACCAAGCCATACTAGCTCTGGCTATTACAAATCTGGAAGTTATGAACACAGAACAATTGTTCATTCCCAGCTAAACCCTCTTATGTCATGGTCTCTGTAGCCCAGGTCTGGAACTAGGTCTTTGCTACCCAAACTTCATGGTTTATCCTGAGAAGAACCATTCCTGTCAAAAGGATCAGGCTGAGAATGAGTAAGAATGCTTTGTAATTCTGCAATGCCTCAAATCCACTGCCCAGTATGGTGAGAAGTACTTCCCTATGTTTCTTTTCCCCTAGAGGGATAGGCTAAATGAAGCACATGACATTATCAGTCCTCTCTTCCAAAATACAGCTGTAGGTTCCTTGACTTAGGATCCAGTGTCTTCTTTGGGAGGGTCAATCCATCTAAAGTCTTAAACTTGCCCAATTATTTCTCTACTTTCTACTCTTGTTCACTTTGACCACCTGTGGTTTTGCTTAAACTTAGGTCTAGAAACTATCTTGATTTTGGGTCAGAGTTACGGAATCAAATACTAGTTCATTCAAAATGTGTGTGGCTCATTGCATCTGTTGCTTCAGTATTGGCCACTGGGCATCTGATACCCCAATTGGACCTCAGGGAAAATCTGTGAACTGGGCTGAGGGAGCAGTCCTTGACTGTCAAGTCTACCAAAATCTAAGACTGACTTAAACCCAAAGCAGTGGTCAGTCTCTTGGTGAGCCTGTAAAGTTCTTCGAAGGTCTATAGACAACAGGGATATGTGAGGAAGGTGCCTATGAGAACAGATTGTCTCCAACATTGCCAGTGGGAAACACATGCCCTTTACCTGCCTAGGCACTTGTCCTTTTCACTGGGGACAGATTGTAAAACCTGGGAACTTCAATTCTGGAAACTTCTCAGAGGTCTTCAGTGTGACCTCTTGAGACAGTTACCAATAACTTTTTATTAAAGTCGGTGTTGGCTCCATTCTGGAACAATTCAACTTATTATGTCATTGTCCTTAGAATTTTGCTGTCTGCTTTTGACTAGATTATCATAAAAGCAAAGAATGACAGTCTTACCTGCAAAACAAACAAAAAAACTAGTCTCACAGTTTCCAATTGGTGGAAGACAGTACCTATAAGGAGGGTTATTGGCCATGTGGACAGGGAGTCTGATCATATGGAGCTTTGAGCAAGTCAGGATGTTATCTGAGAACCCTTTGGAAGCCACTGGAAACCAGGAACTTGTTTGGTGTTGAAAGTCTGACTTGTGGAAACTCACGTTGTTTTTTTTTTTCTTTATTATACTTTAAGTTCTGGGATACATGTGCAGAAAGCGCAGGTTTGTTACATAGGTATACACATGCCATGGTGGTTTGCTGCACCCAAAAACCCATTACCTACATTAGGTATTTCTCCTAATGCTATCCCTTCCCTAGTCCCCCACCCTCCCCAACAGGCCCTGGTGTGTGATGTTCCCCTCCCTGTGTCCATGTATTTTCATTGTTCAATTCCCACTTATGCGTGAGAACATGTGGTGCTTGGCTTTCTGTTCCTGTGTTAGTTTGCTGAGAATGATGGCTTCCAGATTCATCCATGTCCCTGCAAAGGACATGAACTCGTCATTTTTATGGCTATATAGTATTCCATGGTGTACATGTGCCACATTTTCTTTATCCAGTCTATCATTGATGGGCATTTGGGTTGGTTCCAAGTCTTTGCTATTGTGAACAGTGCTGCAATAAACATACATGTGCATGTGTTTTTATAGAATAATTTATAATCCTTTGGGTATATACCAAGTAATGGGGTTGCTGGGTCAAATGGTATTTCTGGTTCTAGATCCTTGAGGAATCGCCACACTGTCTTCCACAATGGTTGAACTAACTTACAGTCCCACCAACAGTGTAAAAGCATTCCTATTTCTCCACATCCTCTCCAGCATCTGTTTCCTGACTTTTAAATGATTGCCATTCTAACTGGTGTGAGATGGAATATCCTTGTGGTTTTGATTGGCATTTCTCTAATGACCAATGATGAGCTTTTTTTCATGTTTGACCACATAAATGTCATCTTTAGAGAAGTATCTGTTCATATCCTTTGCCCTGTTTTTGATGGGGTTGTTTTTCCTGTAAATTTGAGTTCCTTGTAGGTTCTGGATATTAGCCCTTTGTCAGATTAAAGACTTAAACATAAGACCTAAAAACCATAAAAACTCTAGAAGAAAACCTAGGCAATACTATTCAGGACATAGGCATGGGCAAAGACTTCATGACTAAAATGCCAAAAGCAATGGCAACGAAAGCCAAAATTGACAAATGGGATCTAATTAAACAGCTTCTGCACAGCAAAATAAACTATCATCAGAGTGAACAGGCAACCTACAGAATGGGAGAACATTTTTGCAATCTATCCATCTGACAAAGGAACTCATGTTTAACAGCTCAGCTCTAAGAACACTCAGGCTTATATAAAAACCATATGCTAGAGGTTTTTGCCCTTAATAGTCACTAGTAGCTGAGACCCAGCAAGAGATTAGGGCTCTCAGGCTGGTTTCAGAAGAGGGTTTTTTTCAGAGAGCTGGACTTTGAATACAGACTTTGTTGATAGCAGGTAAATTTTCAGGGCATCCTCCATTTACCTAATAAATGACTTTCTGGCACTTAAAGCCAGGAAATTCACAGAAGGGTATTAACGGGCAAAGCCAGCTGGCACCTATATGTTGTTCCCAACTGGGGTAAGGACTTGAAAAGGCCACATCTTAGCCCAAATTAATCCGGGCTCCATGCTGGGACTGCTGCTTCCCAAGAAGGGGAAAAAGATCAAGTTTTCAGGAGATGTCAACCTAGACTATCTGCCTGGTCTTCACAATATTAAAGGTATTCTGAAAGACTAGAAAGGACTGCTAATACTATAACTGGATCCAAATCAAGACTTATTCATATTCTCACTGCAAATAATCTGATAGAATCATGGAAGAACTTTCTATTACTCAAAAAATAAATGCTTACTATAGATCTGTTCTAGATGCTTCCCGTGCTCTTAAGCTATAAACTGGCTGGTATGAAAATCCCCCTTCCTGCTTCTAGAAACTTAAGCTTAGGGCTTAGAATCTAGTAAGTGTCACATGACACATGTGAAAGAACCAGGATTTGCATGCACCTGAGTTCAGCTTCCAAGGCCTGTTCACTACTCTTGACTGAGATTTCCCTGACTAATAGGAATCTTGAAACCAGAAAGAAGTTTTTATACTGAAATCATGTTCTAGTGGCTATAGGCTTATGCCTACTTATTTCAGCAGCTGCAGAAAACAATTTTCATGATTCTGGGATTTTGTTTGTGGTATCTCCAAACACAAACTCTCTTGGAGAGACCCTCCTAATGATAGGGATGGGGGCAGAGAAATTCTGGGCAGAAAAGGGGTAGGTCCACAACAAAACTCCACCTGCAAGCTGAAAGGCCTGAAACTATGGCCCAAAGTGAGAAATTTTATCTTTGTTTTCCAGCTTGAATGTTGCCTTTTCCTAAACTACCCATGACCTGCCCTGCCCTCATCCTGTGCCTATAAAGATCCCAGACTCAGCTGGCAGAGAGAAGTAGCTGGACATCAGGGACTATGGCCAGACATCAGAAGTGGCTTGGCTTCAGAGGAATAGCTTGATGGCATAGCTTCAGAGAAGAATCCAGCCAGAGACAGCCAGACTCCAGGGGAAGATTACCAACCCACCCTACCCTTTTTCAGCTCCCCTTAGGGCTGAGAGCCACTTTCATTGGCAATAAAATCCCCTGCATTTACCATCCATCAATTCACTCATGCAACCTCATTTTTTCTGGAAGTCAGATGAGCTCAGGAGCCACCAGTGTGGATACAAAAAGCTGTCAGCTGGCCCTTTGCCCTCTCTGGCAGAGGGCAGCTGCCTTATGTGAAAGAGTGGAGGGCCCATTGAGCTGTTAAGACCATCCATAGACAGCAGAGCTAAAAGAGCACTGTGACACACCTCCTGGGGCTTCAGAAGTCACAGGCACCCTGCCTAGATGCTGCCGGGGGCTTGAGCAAAGTTCGCTCCTGCCAGCGCTCAAAAGTGCTCGCTCTGGCTCCTGCACTCACTCACCTGCCCTCCCCCTCCCATGAGGGGTGGAATGCAGCAGTGAGTCTGAGTGAGTGGAGTGTGATCCTGCCCGCAACAAGGCTGCCAATCAATTCCAGTGCTCATGCACTCCAGTCCCCACCTTGTTCACTTGCATGCTCCTTCCTTCGAGGAGTTGAGAGTGGCAGGCTGAGTAAACAAGGCATCCCTGTCATGAGTCCCACGAAGGGGTCAGGGAAGTATCCTACTTCAATAACTGTGATCTAGGGAGGAATGTCCTCATAGTCACTCTAAGCAATGGTAGACCCAGCCTTGAGTTCGAATTACTGATGAGAACTTAACACTCATGGAGCCAATTTGATAGGCAAGGCTCTATCAAATCCTAACACAAGTGTCTCACCTATGTGTTAGGAGTTGAAAAGAAATTGGTGGTTGAGTCAAAAACCTGAGTCTCATTCAAAGCTTTCCATTATCACTTATCCTTTTACCTTTAGTTTCAACAGTCACTTCAATACAAAACAGACAAAAGAAGCATACAAATGTGGCAAAACAACCAAAAGCTATCACAACAGCTGGAAATCTGGCTATATTTTGGCACCCAAGCTGCTTAAGTGTCCTGTGTCTCCGTAAGCCTGCTGCAGTTCTTGGTATCATTCTTAGATCCACCGAACCTTGTCCAAGTCATCTTCTGACAAACACCCTGACCTTGCCTACTCGACTGTGCTGTCACTCCTGTTTGGTAACTGTATATATAAAATCTTCATTGGAAAACTTCAAAAATCACTTAAGCTGTCAATCCAGCAACATCATTTGGGATCTGGGAGGACTGTGTTGCGTTCTGCTTCAGATTAATTCAATGGAGAGCTCTGCAGGGGAAGTCTTACCTGTGGATTTCGGGGAGTGATGTTCTATTGCAACAGTCTCAAGCAAAATTTAGATGACCTGTGAGAACTCTTAGAAACAACCAAACTCAAGGGCAGCTGAACTTGCTTTGGGAAGATACCTAAGAATCGCTGCCCATCTTCCTCCAGGTGGCTCAGTCTCACAGGCAGCTCATGCCTGGTGTCCAGGGCCATGGCAAACATGTTGTATTATTCCTTAAAGCATTCAGCTACTTCCTCAAAGGGGCTGAGCATCTCAATTTGGTGGCTGAGCTTTCTGCCAGCTCCCACTGCCTCTAGCTGAGGCCTGTGCTTCAGCTTTTTTCTGTAGCTGCTTTCTACATACTGCTCTGCCTTTGAACTAAGCAAGATTGTTCTCCTTTACAGTCAGCAGAGTCAATAGTAATATTTGGGACTCTACTTCTATCACTTTGGACAAACTTGGGCTCTCTGAGGGGCAGAAATGATGTGGACTTGGTTTTGACATTGTCTTTTCTAACTAGAGTCTTTCTGACCACACTTACCATGAATGGCCGAGCCAGGTAGAGGGAGTGGGGACTGGGCTGTGCCCTAGACTGCAGGTCAGCCTTTCTGAACCCACTGCCATCAGCTCTGCTTTCCTGGAGCAGGTTGGATTTCCTTTCACCTTCAGATACCTTCCCACTCTGTGGTGCTTTTATGTAGTGTTTCTTTTATAGGCAGAGTCTGTTGCCCAGGCTGGAATGCAATGGCATGTTTACTGTGCCTCAACCTCCCAAGCTCAAGTCACACTCACCTAAGCCTCTTGAGTAGCTGAGACTACAGGCATACACACACCTATGCCTGGCTAACTTTAGATGGTCTTTGACATATCAGGTGCAGGAGGCTTTTTGTTCTTATACTGCGAGTATCAAGACTCAACTACTCTTCCACTCTGTACTCCTTTCTTTTTTTATTATTATTATACTTTGTTTTAGGGTAATGTGCACAATGTGCACTCTGTACTCTTTTCACTTTCATTTTGGCACCACTCGGATCATTGGGACAAGCTGCAAAAGGCTTTCTACCAGCTTCCTGAGAAATACAACTTCCTGCCTGCTACTCCAAGGCTGGACCTGCTCCCTCACTTGCAGGGTTGGGCCATGTTGCAGAGCTGCAGGAGGAACAGCCACGGGCTAAATGGGTGCGTCCCCCCTACCCTAAGATGTCTTATAGAGAATGCAGTGCTGAACTTCATTCAGCTCATCTGTCTTGAATTTCAGAGACATCAGTCTTGGTCAGTGAATTCTTGTTCATCAACTCTTAAGAACTTATCTAGAATACGAATCGGAGTTGGCCTGTAGATGAGAAGCTTGGAAAGAATCTTTTGACCCAAGATGACACCAGCCCTTCCTGAATGGGGTATTCTCTTCTACTGAGTGTCCATGTAGAAGACACGGACAAGACCTAACTGCTCTTGTGCATGTGAGACTTTATCAGCAGTGTTCAGGCAAAGACAGTCATGAGTTTTCATAAAGAACTCGGAACTAGATGCTGTAACCTTTTCAACCATGAATAGGAAATCTTAACAGTTGAGTCCTCAAACAGAGGTTCTTGTTTTGTGCTATCCTACAAAATCTCAGAAGAGGTCAATGTCTCTGGGACTTATGTGGAAGCCACATGGCAAGATATGCTCTGGTTGCTTAAAATAGATTTGGATTCACACTCTGACTAATGGCTTCATGAATGCCAAAGTAGTGAGACTGTGGTCAAGATATTAAAATGACTTCCCTCACCTAAAAAAAAAAAAAAAACCATACCTTGAAATTGCCCAATATGCCTTAGTTTTTCTTAGAAACAAATAGGCTGGATATTGTGGCTCATGCCTGTGATCAGTGCTTTAAGAGGTTGAGGTGAGAGGATCACTTAAGACCAGGAATTTGAGACCAGCCTGGGCAGTGTAGTGAGACCCCATCTCTAAAAAACACACATGTTCAAAAATACCAGTGTAGGCTGTGGCTCATGCCTGTAACCCCACCACTTTGGGGGAGGCCCCACCACTTTGGGGGAGGCTGAGCCAAATGGATCACTTTGAGATTGGGAGTTCAAGACCAGCCTGGCCAACATGGCAAAACCCTATCTCTACTAAAAATACAAAAATTAGCTGGGCATGGCAGCGCATGCCTGTGATCTCAGTTGCTCACGAGGCTGAGGCAGGAGAATTGCTTGAACCCAGGAGGCAGTTTGCAGTGATCCGAGATTGTGCCACTGCACTCCAGCCTGGGCAACAGAGGTGAGACTGTCTCAAAAAAAAAAAAAAAAATCAGTGTAGATGGTAAAAAGCGCTAGTATATTCTTCTTGTGGCTAAGTACCCCTGTCATTAAAACCCAAGGCCCAGCTGAGACTTTTCCAGAGCAGGCAGGTGAGCAGGATTGGTGGCAGTACCCAGGCGTCACCAGCTGGCAGGAAGGGGAAGGGGGGCCAAGTTCCCCTTCCTAGAGTGAGAGGCTTTGAAGGAGTAGAATTCTGGCTGGAACTTCAGTTACTCAGTGGAGTCTGTATGTGCAAAATAGTTCCAGCCTTCACAGGAACCCCAAAGCCTACAGGGAAAAGCAAACCCAAATTCCAGGTACTATATAAAGTGAGTCCAGGAATACTTCCTGTCTTCAGGAGGGAGCTCAGCACCTGGATCCTCTCCATGTCCTTGGACCACTTGTTCCTGTCCAAGTCTGTAATGAAGTCAAGATTTGTGATGGGTGGTGGATCAAAATTTATTAGGAATCAACACCTGTGAAAAGGGGAAAGGAGGCTGCATTGTACAGAAGATGCCAAGCCATGATGCAGGCATGATGAAGCCTTGGCCTCCCTGTAGGAGCTCTAGAGCAAGAATTTTTCCAGTCCTGTTCCAGGGCAAGATGGTGGAGCCTCTGTGCTCTCACAGCTTCTAGTCACTGAATGCACGTGCAGCTTGGTATGTCTTTTGTGTTGTAGACATAGATATGCCACTCAATCTCCCACCTTCCTCTGAGAAACCTGTTGGGCTTCACAGGCTTTATTGGATACATCACAACCTCTGTATCCTCCATGTTCTGAACTATCCAAGACTTCTGAAGGGACCAAAGAAATCTGGGAAAGACAGCTGAAGGTGCACTTCCCGGGTCCATATAGAAGTAGTGCAATTAAGGAACAGTTCTTTCAGAAGAGACTTCTACTTGAGTTATCTCCAAATGCCTTTAGATCATTTTGGCCTTGGGAGGTAGCATTGTCTTGAAAGGAACTGGGTCAGTGACAAAAAGCTTAAATATCTTTCTATGCAGTATTACCCCAGTAATACGGTTTCTTATCACTCACATCCAGGAAGTGTATCTATAGCCACACCTCTAAAGTTCTATACTGGGAATCTCCCTTACCCTCCACAAGATGTACCTGGTAGAGTGACCCAGACCCTCATCTTTGAGCAACTCCAACCATGCCTGACAAAGACAAGGAAATCAAGGGCAAAGATTCAACGTTCTCCCTGGGTGTGAAAGTACCAAGTGGTGCCCCCAATGACTCCTGCAAGATCCAGACACCCTTTTCCATGCCCTCAGGATATAACAACTCATGCCTCATAACCAGATTTGGCTGCCCCTGCAGGTATAACTTCCTTCTCCTGCCAGTCTACTGGCAGAAACCAGGTCACTGCTATGGGTTGAATATCCTTATTCAAAATGCTTGGGAACAGAAGTATCTTCAGGTTTTTTTGGATTTGAGTATTTGCATTCACATGAGAGATCTTGGGTGGGACAAATCTAAGAACAATTTCATGTACACCATCAACTGAAGGTTACTTTATATGATATTTGTGCTCAAAACAAAGTTTATACCAAACCATCAAAAAGTAAAGGTGTCACTATCTCAGCCATCCATATGGACAACCTATAGTTTAGCATCACCGTCATTCTTGACTTTGAGTTTATATGCCACTGATAAGCGATCACTTTATTCATATGGTGTTTTAACAGTGAAAAGACATACAACTAATGCAATGAAAAGTGCTTAGGGTAACTAGGCCTAGTAGCATCACCAGAATACCTGCATCAGCTGTTAAACAGAAATCGGTCTACCTATGATGCTGTTTTTGATTAAAAGATTACACTATATTTTCTTTACATGAGAAAACATCAAGCAGTTGAAGGACCAGGAAATGGGCCCTTTAGAGATGAGATATTCGGTGAATGGGTTTTTAATGCTTCCTCCAGCATCATCTGCCTCATTTAAACTATCATTTTTATTGGTAAAATGAGACTGATACAATTTAAGAACATACTCTGCTCTAGTCCTTAAACCTATCACACACTTCTACCATGTCATCTGAAGATACTACTTCTATACTATACTTTTGCTGTTGCCACAATCACCTTAGTCAGAGCCATTTCAGCTATTTCCCTGGCAATGAACAACTTTTGAAAAGTCAACATCCGTTTCTTCCAGCCTACTAATGGACTCTGAAGCTATATCTTTTGCATATGCAAAGGTCATTTTCCCCACGAAAATCCTTCAAAGTCATTGCCTTGTTCACCACTGAACATAATTGCAGGCCAGAGATTGTATGTTCAGGCACACACTCATCACTGTTCCAAGCATTGACAACAGCATGTAAGCATTTGCTATGCTGGTTTCCTTTTGAAAACCTACACCCATGCCTCTATTAACAGCTGCTAGCATGCTGTTCAAAGTGTTCATTTACTGGTCTAAGGCTATCCTAGTCGTGTGGCTGAATTAACGCAATTGTGTTGTGAAAGTACATGGCATAAACACTTTTTAATAACTTCAGCTGGAAGATGAACAGAACAATGATCAAGGAATAGCAGTCTTGCTGTTGTCATCCAATCTAACTTCCCTGCAGTGAGTATGAGTTACTGACACAAAATGATAAACTGGGAAAGATGTCCCTAAATTATCTACACCCTTTTGTTAGCACAATAATGGACTTGTAGGAAACTCCTTAAACAGTGAGGACACAAGCTTTTGCCATTCATAACAAGTTTACACTGTCTTCATTAGCACATCCCAGCATAGTTACTGTCCTTGGCATCCTCAGTTTCTATAGGCTGTCCCATCAGCTGTAGTCTTTCTGGGGCAATAATGCTAAAACAGTATTTTGTCAGCATCATAGACTTGTCCTGGCATCAGACTTTCACCAGAAGTGACCTTGGTGGAATGACTAAGGAATTTCTTCACTGCTTCGTGATCAGATGTCTTTATTGCCACAGATGTTTGAAAGCTTACTGCCATGTCTTTTAAACTTCTGTTATCAGTCTGTTGAATATTCAGTTCCCCCTAATTTTCAATCCATGGTGATCTCTGCTTGTTTCATAATTAGCACAGCACTGAGTGACGTGTGTTCACTGCCATGCTGACAGACCTACTGTCAAACATGATTACCTTCACTTACAGCTTTATTTAATATTTTTCTACTATCCACTACTTTCAGCACGAACTTCACTAGCTTATTTTTGTTTTGTCAGGTCACATGGTGGTCATTCCATATGGTGGTCAATACTATACTCTTCTGTAAGATGCTTCACACTCTAACTGCTGTTCAGTTTCTCCAACAGCTTGGCTTTCTGTGCTATAGATAAACATAAATGCTGCCTTTTTATCACTGTTACCCACAGGGCTGTCGGTAGGACTTGACCCTTCCAACAGTATCTCTCTACCAGAGCTTAGTGCCGAGACCAGCTTGGTCGGGGAGACCCTAACCCAGCGGCACTGGAGGAATTAAAGACACACACACACACACAGAAATATAGAGGTGTGAAGTGGGAAATCAGGGGTCTCACAGCCTTCAGAGCTGACAGCCCCGAACAGAGATTTACCCAAGTATTTATTAACAGCAAACCAGTCATTAGCGTTTTTTCTATAGATACTAAATTAACTAAAAGTATCCCTTATGGGAAACGAAGGGATGGGCCAAATTAAAGGAGTAGGTTGGGTTAGTTAACTGCAGCAGGAGCATGTCCTTAAGGCACAGATCGCTCATGCTATTGTTTGTGGCTTAAGAATGCCTTTAAGTGGTTTTCTGCCTTGGGTGGGCCAGGTGTTCCTTGCCCTCATTCCCATAAACCCACAACCTTCTAGCATGGGCATTATGGCCATCATGAACATGTCACAGTGCTGCAAAGATTTTGTTTTTATGGCCAGTTTTGGGGCCAGTTTATGGCCAGATTTCAGGGGGGGCCTGCTCCCAACACTTAGAATAATCTTTGCATAGCTCTTGTCCCCAAGTAGGGCATTGTGGGAAATCTGCCATTGGTGTGCCCAGCCTGCACGCCATCTTATTTTCCTTTGTGGGCATGTTTGTATGGGGGAATCTGCATGTGCAGAAAAGATGTATCATGGCTAAAGGAGGCTTGGAGGGTGTTTTTCCCCCCTTGGAACACAAATGGTGTGCCTCTGTTTTGACTGACCTGACACATGTGGTCAGATGTAAAATTTTCAACTTGCATCATGTCAGCACTCAGTTGTGGATTGTGCAGCATTTTAGGTTGCCCAGCCTGTACGTGCTTGGTCACTTTGAATCTGACATTGAATGCTCTCAGTGTACATTAGAAATCTCTCCTACCTTACTGTAGAACCAGGACCTCTTACTTAGGAGAACCTAAGCATGTGTGGATGGGGAGCACAAATTCTGCTAGTAGCTTCCTGGAAGAGAACATAATGAGCCAGCCCAACTCACACCTGTAGTTCCTAGACCCCTAGATAACATCACATAGGAATAGAGGAATAGAGCTATAGACTCTAGTTGGAAACTTGATAGAATAGAAACATAGCTTTATATTAAACAACAAGTTGCTCTGAGCATAATGTACTATTGCAGAAAAAGTGATGGCTTCCTTGAATCATATTTTCTGTAGTTATTAGTGCTTAAGTCTCTTAATACTGAGAGCCCGTGATGTGACCAGCCTGATTTCCTGATGTTGAGGGCCAGCCTCATGAGAAGTCTGCATCTGGTTTTTGTCTTTTCCAGGCTCAAGAAGTATCTGAAAATGACCTGGCCTGCTGCCTCACCTAATCAAAGAACTGTGACAAATGTAAAAGAGAGATAGGCAGGGGGAGGTGATCATCTGATGGTTCTGGTCTGCTCTGAGGTGTTTATCTGTAACGACACCAAAACCCGGGCTGCTCAAGTATATAGGATGACCGTAGGACTGAACATGGGTTAAAAACACCTTCAAATGACCTCTATTTTATTTCCCAATTTGGTCGAAGTGGCATCCCTCCAACAAAATGTTTTATGATTCTTCGTGAGGAGCCAAGTGGTGTCAAATCTGGTTACTCTGGGATAGGTGTTAGGGATGAGCTCAATGGATGGGACCTAGGGTCAAATTCCTATGCACTCAAACTTCATGTTGGCTATGTCGTTTTATTGTGGGGGCTTTGGGCATCTGTTCTCAATGTGTCTGTGAGCCTGCTATTTAGTTGGATACAGAGCTCCAGAACTTTAATCCTGGTCTGGCTGTATTGACTAGCTTGCCCAACAACCTGTCTCACTTGAGTCCATGGCCTCTAGAATTTTCTAAAATTCCAATTAGTTAAGGTAGATATAAAAAGAAGGAACGATCAGTCTTTACAGTAAGACTGTTTGCTCCTCATTCCCTTGTTAATCAAGGTACTGGTATCTCTGAAGGCCATGTTGTAACCTACTGAATAGAACATGACCACCAAAAAGCAAAACTTAAGTATATTTAAAGCTAGAACCATCTATATATTCAAACGAATACATGAAAAAATACTATGACCATCTGAAAAATGACCCTCTGAGTTCGGAAGACAAGTCATGAGCTTGGTCATTCTGATTTTCTAAAGTTAGAGTGACTCCAGGAAGACAGTTTAAATTTTTTTTCCTGCTTTTTCACGTCAAGGGAGTGCTTTGCTCATACTTCAAGGCCCAGCTGGGCTTATTCTTATGCCAAAAATAGATTGCGAAGCAGGGCTTTATTAGCAGAACCTTACTTTCACCAGCTGCAAGAAGGGGCCCCGGTTTTCCCTTGGTGTATCATCCTCTGAAAGGCATTAGCACTGAATGGTATGCCCAGAGTCGGAGACAAGAGCTGCATCCCTATAGCCTACTGCACCCCAAACTGCCCCACAAGTTGGCAAATAGGCATCAGAGAGTCTGTAGCTAACTGTGCATGGTGGCCATTTTAGCCAAGAGGCACCCAGGCGCTCTGCAGCCTCCAAAGCTGTGGGACACACTGGCTACCTAGGTGGGCAGAAAAGCCCCCACGCTGGGTGAGATGCTATCTTGGTGCCCAGGCCCACACCTGAGGCATACAGCCGTGAGGCTGTGCCTGTACCTCCAGTCTCCCACAGTGCTGTGACTCTTGCAGTGTTCACCTAAGTACTGTGCAGTCTGAGGGACCTATGCTAGTCTCACGTGGTGCTTACACCAGCATGGATGCTGCCTAGCTGCCCCAGTCTCTGGCCTGTGCTTGGGTCAGTCATCTTAGTCCCATGAGAGAAATGTGTACCTTGAGAAACCCAAATTCCAATCTTAATGGGCTAAACTTCTCCATGGTATCTTTTTGAGCTCAATTCCCCTGAGAAAGTTTAATTTCCCCACAAACACCTTGTGGCTGACATCTAACAAGATATTTTTTGGGGGATTTCCTTTCAAATGCAGCTACAGGTCCTTCAACTTGTTCAGGCTCAACTTTCAGATGCATATTCAACCAACTCATGTATGGACTCAGCCAAATGTGGTCTTGTTAGCCTCAGGTCTAGAAAGATAATTTTGGGATTAAAGATGACTTCACAGAAAATTATATCTTCCTTTGAATTGCTGTTGATGAGAGTCATGTTGGCTCACAATAGATGCTGTCTGTAGCCACTGGGATTTATCCTAATACAGTTATAAGACTTCCAGTTACCATACAGCTTTAACCTTTTAACTGCTTAAATTGTGGCTTCCCAGTAGCCTTTGACTTACCAATCACCCTACTTAAGGTAGAGAAGCAGTGTTGGCAAAGGGGCAGAAACAAGTCTGAAACAACTAGGAAGCTATAGGTATTGTCTGAGTGTCTATGAAAAGGATATTGGCATGTGTTGTAGCACTGTCTATGCAATACTGATGCCATCTTCTGACAAGGAACATCTCATGCTAACCTTACCAAAATAAGTCTGTATATTTTCTCCCTTTTATCAAAGTTAAAATATCATTCAAAGAGACAGAAGACACATTACCTTATGTCTCCTGCTCATTCTGAACCAACTGACCAGCATGTGGGTCAATAGGTGGCCTTTGTGAGCAGCCTGGAGACTTTTCAAGGCTCTGCCAGCCATGTAAGCATGTTAGCATTCAGCCCCAGGTTCAATGTTGACTAAAATGTTTGGCTTTATCTAGAGCCTTACATGCTTGTGACAAGCGCAATTCATAATGATACGGTCTTCATGTGGCTTAAGGGGAATTGGAAAATCTTGTGCTTCCAGTCTCTGTAGCCCACTTCTGGCACTGAAGAGGGCTTTGACTTCCCAGCAGGAAGTGTATGGAATCCCTGAGACTGGGCATTTATGTGAACAGGACCAGACTACAGATGGTGGTACTCCAACTCTACTTCTGCACAGAATGGCCTTTTCCCAAGAATTCTTTGCTAAACAATTTTATAACGTGGCCATGTGAAGCTGGCATTGTCTCTTCCTAGTGCCCAGTGTAGCTTCAGATCCTTTGAATACAAGCTCTTGGGCTTTGTATGGCTGGGATCAACCACCCCAATAGAACTGCCTGAACTCACAGGGAGTGTCCACTCTCTATTAGAAATGGAGATTGTCATTTTTTTGGCACTGCCATTAATAAGACATGAATGTCTTATTTGTTGAATGAGTTCTTAACAGAAATGACAGCAGTTTTAGTGACAAGCCCAGATGAAGAGTGGTTTTGTTATCTGCAGGTGAACCACTAGAACCTCCAACCTTGGATTCAGACCACTGTTGCCTCAGATGACTTCAGAGGCTTCCCTAGACTAAGTTCTGATTGTAGTGGCTCTCTATAGTTCCAGTTTGCCATTTGTTTTCATTCCCTTCCTTTCCATGGCTTCTGTTAGTTTCTGAAATTCTAGGTTGATCTAAAGTATCCTGAAAGCAGAAATTTCTGTCATTGTTGCTGGTAGGATTCCATCTTTCAGTCTCTTGTATGATACTGTTTACATAGAGCAGCTTCCCTGGAAGAAATAGCTGTTTTCCTTGAACAGATATTGCTTTTATCAGAGCTTGTGATCAGTCAGAAAAACCTTTAGATGCTTGCTTCTATCGAAATGGCTTTAGGCATTATCTCTAAAGATCAGATTAACCTCTTATAACCAGGAACTTTACCCAGAACAATGTTAGTTACTAAAATATGTTCTTAGACCCTGTTTGCATATTCTAGGCCATTGACCTTATTTCAGAATTATAAGCCTAAAGGAAAAACCCTTCATAATTTAAGGAGAAAATGACAACTGTCCTTCTGCTAACCACTCTGCTTTTAAATCACTTGGTTTCACTTTCGTATGGATTTTTGAATCACAGATAAGAATTTCTCAGGCAGTAAACCATTCTAAGCCAGGGGATTTGGGAGTCTTGGGTTTTGAGGTGGGCATCACTAGGACCTTATTGGTCTGGGTTCATTCCCTAAGAACCTGGAGAGACAGGTATATAGCAATTTGGAGGGACACTGGTAACGAGAGTCTGCTAGGTTGTACAGGTCTCAGATTTGTGGGCCTATCACTGCCTGGTAGTCTGTTGCTTGCATGAAAAGACCAAAGACCATCAGATTGATCCAAAGACTGAGCCTATAGACCTGAAATGTATCCAACAGCTGAGAATCTAATCAAGGAGTTAAGTTTATCCTTTACACCTGAGTCTGAGCCATTTGATAAATACCTACCAAAAACCTGCCCATCTTTATCCCACCATTCTTTCAGCAAGTACATAACAGTAATACTGCAGTGATAGTGACCACTGGTCAGACTAGAAATTCTTAATGACCAACAGCTACCCCCATGAAGGATTTTTCAAAACACTTGAGACAAGTATAGGCTTCTCCTGACCAAAATGGAATTACAGGGTTAGATTTATCTTCCTGCCTGAAACAACTAAAAACTGATAAAACATATCAAGAGTCTGAAAACTGTCTTCTATCAAGAGCACAAGACTGATGCCTAAGAGGGGAAATAGACAAGGTGACCCTGTAACTTGCCCAGTTTAGTGGCTGGAGAGTATCTAGAATGCAGCCCAGGCACAGGCAACACAGCCTAGCAATCTCCATGAGTTGAATTCTGGCCGGCCCAGGTAGCTAGAATTAGCAGGGCAGAATGCTGGAGGAGACAGCCACACACAGAACACCCCAGAGACCCATGGAGGGTCCTCCTTGAATCTTCAGCTGAATGCTGAGCTCCAGATGCATGTGAAGAAACTACCTTAGGCCAGGGAAGAACCACCCAAAGGGGACTTAAAGGAAATGATCCTTGGAACTCACATAGCACTTGAAATAATTTTATTCTTAGCAACCAGAATAGAAACCTAACTCATGGGATATAGGACAAAGTACTCAAAGGTGTTGCCTCAGTAATGGAATAAGTCCTGCCCTAGAGGCTATCCTAATCCTGATGAAGCCTAAAAAAGCAAGGCTCAAAAGGATCTAGCTGACCAAGTAACTATCTTAGAATAAGGTATAAGAATAATTCTAGAAATACAAAAATATCCAAAGTCACAATTTTGGGCATCCAATCAAATGTCCAGGCATATGGAGAATCAAGAAAATACAACTCATGACTGGGTGTGTTGGCTCATGCCTGTAATCCCAACACTTTGGGAGGCTGAGGCAGATGGATTGCTTGAGGCTGGGAGTTTGAGACCAGCCTGAGCCAACATATTGAGACCTCACATCTCCAAATCTTTAAAACTTAGCTGGGCCTGGTGGTATGTGCCTATAGCCCAGCTACTCAGTTTGAGGGAGGAGGGTTGCTTGAGCCCAAGAATTTAGGGCCACAGAGAGCTATGATTGTACCACTGCACCCCAGCCTGGATGACAGAATGAGACCTCATCTCTAAATTATAAAAGTACAACTCATAAGATCAATAAAAACAGGTCTAGAAATCATAATTAGAACAGGGACACTAAAACAGATACCTACAACCCATATGTTTGAGAAAGAAGACTGAACATGTTAAATGGAGGCATGAAAGATTTGAAAGACAAGACTATTCTGTTCCATTGATCTATATCTCTGTTTTGGTACCAGTACAATGCTGTTTTGGTTACTGTAGCCTTGTAGTATAGTTTGAAGTCAGGTAGCGTGATGCCTCCAGCTTTGTTCTTTTGGCTTAGGATTGACTTGGCGATGCAGGCTCTTTTTTGGTTCCATATGAACTTTAAAGTAGTTTTTTCCAATTCTGTGAAGAAAGTCATTGGTAGCTTGATGGGGTGGCATTGAATCTATAAATTACCTTGGGCAGTATGGCCATTTTCATGATATTGATTCTTCCTATCCATGAGCATGGAATATTCTTCCATTTGTTTGTATCTTCTTTAATTTCATTGAGCAGTGGTTTGTAGTTCTCCTTAAAGAGGTCCTTCACGTTCCTTGTAAGGTGGATTCCTAGGTATTTTATTCTCTTTGAAGCAATTGTGAATGGGAGTTCACTCATGATTTGGCTCTCTGTTTGTCTGTTATTGGTGTATAAGAATGCTTGTGATTTTTGTACATTGATTTTGTATCCTGAGACTTTGCTGAAGTTACTTATCAGCTTAAGGAGATTTTGGGCTGAGACAATGGGGTTTTCTAGATACACAATCATGTCATCTGCAAACAGGGACAATTTGACTTCCTCTTTTCCTAATTGAATACCCTTTATTTCCTTCTTCTGCCTAATTGCCCTGGCCAGAACTTCCAACACTATGTTGAATAGGAGTGGTGAGAGAGGGCATCCCTGTCTTGTGCCAGTTTTCAAAGAGAATGCTTCCAGTTTTTTGTCCATTCAATATGATATTGGCTGTGGGTTTGTCATAGATAGCTCTTATTATTTTGAGATACGTCCCATCAATACCTAATTTATTGAGAGTTTTTAGCATGAAGTGTTGTTGAATTTTGTCAAAGGCCTTTTCTGCATCTATTGAGATAATCATGTGGTTTTTGTGTTTGGTTCTGTTTATGTGCTGGATTACATTTATTGATTTGCATATATTGAACCAGCCTTGCATCCCAGGGATGAAGCCCACTTGATCAAAGCCCTCAGAAATAACGCTGCATATCTACAACTATCTCATCTTTGACAAACCTGAGAAAAACAAGCAATGGGGAAAGGATTACCTATTTAATAAATGGTGCTGGGAAACCTGGCTAGCCATATGGAGAAAGCTGAAACTGGATCCCTTCCTTACACCTTATACAAAAATCAATTCAAGATGGATTAAAGACTTAAATGTTAGACCTAAAACCATAAAAACCCTAGAAGAAAACCTAGGCATTACCATTCAGGACATAGGCGCATGGGCAAGGACTTCACGTCTAAAACACCAAAAGCAATGGCAACAAATGCCAAAATTGACAAATGGGATCTAATTAAACTAAAGAGCTTCTGCACAGCAAAAGAAACTACCATCAGAGTGAACAGGCAACCCACAAAATGGGAGAAAATTTTCGCAACCTACTCATCTGACAAAGGGCTAATATCCAGAATCTACAATGAAAATTTACAAGAAAAAAGCAAACAACCCCATCAAAAATTGGGCGAAGGACATGAACAGACACTTCTCAAAAGAAGACATTTATGCAGCCAAAAAACACAGAAAAAATGCTTACCATCACTGGCCATCAGAGAAATGCAAATCAAAACCACAATGAGATATCATCTCACACCAGTTAGAATGGCAATCATTAAAAAGTCAGGAAACAACAGGTGCTGGAGAGGATGTGGAGAAATAGGAACACTTCTACACTGTTGGTGGGACTGTAAACTAGTTCAACCATTGTGGAAGTCAGTGTGGCGATTCCTCAGGGATCTAGAACTAGAAATACCATTTGACCCAGCCATCCCATTACTGGGTATATACCCAAAGGACTATAAATCATGCTGCTATAAAGACACATGCACACGTATGTTTATTGTGGCACTATTCACAATAGCAAAGACTTGGAACCAACCCAAATGTCCAACAATGATAGACTGGATTAAGAAAATGTGGCACATATACACCATGGAATACTATGCAGCCATAAAAAATGATGAGTTCATGTCCTTTGTAGGGACACGAATGAAATTGGAAATCATCATTCTCAGTAAACTATCGCAAGAACAAAAAACCAAACACCGCATATTCTCACTCATAGGTGGGAATTGAACAATGAGAACACATGGACACAGGAAGGGGAACATCACACTCTGGGGACTGTTGTGGGGTGGGGGGAGGGATAGCATTGGGAGATATACCTAATGCTAGATGACGAGTTAGTGGGTGCAGCGCACCAGCATGTCACATGTATACATATGTAACTAACCTGCACGTTGTGCACATGTACCCTAAAACTTAAAGTATAATAATAAAAAAAAATAAAAAGTTGAAATTATGAATAAATAAATAAGTACAAAAAAAAAGACAAGACTAGTGACTTATGTGAAGCTAGATGGTATAGCTTACTCATACCCAGGCTATATGATATGGCCTGCTCCTAGGCTACAAACCTGTGTAGCATATTACTGAATACCATAGGCAGCTGTAACACAACATTATTTTCATCTTAAAGTATAGTAAAAATAGGGTGTAAAGGATGACCTGTACTTGTATAGGGCACTTACCATGAATGGTGCCTGCAGGACTGGAAGCTGCTGTGAGTCAGTGAATGTAAAGACCTGGGATGATACTGTACTCTACTGTAGCCTTCGTAAACATAATATACTTAAGCTATACTAACTTAATAAAACTTTAGTACCAAATTATCTTTAACTTAAACTCCTTAACTGTAATTGAAATTTTGATAATACTTAGCTTAAAACACTGTACATACATACAAGAATGTTTTTATCCTTATTCTATAAGCTTGTTTCTATTTACCCTTTAGACCTTCGTTAAGCTAAGATGTCAGCACACAAAGTAGCCTCGGCCTACACGGGGTCAGGATCACCAATAGCACTGTTCCCTACCTCTACACCTTGTCCCACTAGAAGATCTTCAGAGGCAGTAATATGGATGGGGCTGTCATCTCCTATGATAACAATGCATCCTTCTGGAATGCCTCCCGAAGGACCTGCCTGTGTCTGTCTTAGTTAACTTGATATGTAGAGGGAAATACTCAAATAGTAGATAAACCAGTAAGCAATCACTGAAGTATGATGTATTGCACATAACTGTATGCTATACTTTCAGATGACTGGCAGTCTATTAGGTTTGTTTACATCAGCATTGCTGCAAACATGAGTAACGCATTGCACTACAACATTATGACAGCTACGGCATCACTAGGCAACAGGAATTTTCAGCTCCACTAATCTTATGGGAACACCATCTTATACACTGTCCATGGAGTGAAACACAGGTACGTGGCTGTAATTGGAGTCCCTGAAGGGCAGGGGAGGGACAAAAACATGGCCAAAATGTTCCAAACTTCATGAAAACCATAAACCCACAGATGCCAGGAGCCCAGTGAACTTCAAAAAACATGATGAATTGTTGCTTGTTTTTAAGCAATCTTATTTAAAATGTTGCCCACTGTCTTCTGGCTTGAATTGCTTCTAAAGAAATGTTTCTCATTCTGCTATACATTATACTTTTAAAATTCCCTTAACTAAGGTATATCATAAAGTACTGAGAAAATCTGACAACATACTTATTCCTAGTGAATCTTACACAAAAGCAAAACAATTTCAGCTTCTGTCTTTCCATCTTTTATCATTGGCAGACTTCTATTGTGGTATAAGAAATGCTAAAGAAATTCAGGTAGGAGGAAGAAATGCCAAGTAAATCTCCAGAAATAGTAAATATGTAGGTCAAGACTTAATTTACTTTAAAGATAACTCAGTTTAAACAACGTATCACAGGGTTTATAACATGTAGAAGTGAAATGACTATAGCACAAAGTCTGGGAGAAGGAAGTATAGCTTCTTGTATGTGAAGTGGCATATTCAAGGTGGACTGGAAGTTTAAGCATATACTGTAAGCCCTAAAGCAACCAAAACAGTTATAGCTAAAAGTAGACAAAGGAGATAGGATAATAAAAGCAGGCAGAAAAAATGAAAACAAATTACACAAAAATAGATGGCATACTTAAATCTAAACATGAGATAAATATGACCCAAATAGCACTACTAAAGTGTATGGATCATCAAAGTTCATAAAAATAAGTTTCTTGTAGGCAGCCTATGGTTGAGTCTTTATCCAAAGACACAAATGGTTAATGATGGGAAGATGCACCATGCTAACGCAGGTCAGAAGAAAGCTGGAGTGGCTGTGTCAGTATCAAAACACCTTGGAGCAAGGAGTATTACCAGGCATGAAGCCGCTCCATAATGATAGTAATAATTAGACTAGATATCTATGTAAATGTACAACTCTTAGTAACAATGACTTAGAATTCTAACACTCAAATTTGGAGTTGATATACTCAATTCTCTTTCATTACTGCTTACAAGCTGTAGCTGTAGAACTTTTTCCTGTATGCCAGAGCTGAGGTTAGAGCAGCTAACAGAACTAGGTGGTGTAAAAAAATGCTATATTAAATAGAATAAGCTAGTCTTTGGTTAAGCACCTTGCCTTTTAAACATAAAAGAGCAAACTGAACACTTGGCCTATTAGTGGCATTAAGGGAAAAAGAAAAATGTACAAATATGAGAAATTTTTGAGACAACACAAATGGACAGCAAACATAAGGAAATGCATGTTCTCATATAAAACATTGGATACATTTGTCACACTGGTTTAAAAAAAAATGCAGGCAGCTGGGCACGGTGGCTCACACCTTTAATCCCAGCACTTTGGAAGGCCGAGGCAGGCGGATCACCTGAGGTGAGGAGTTTGAGACCAGCCTGACCAACATGGAGAAACCCCATCTCTACTAAAAATACAAAAAATCATGCGGGCGTGGTGGTACGTGCCTATAATCCCAGCTACTAGGGAGGCTGGGGCAGGAGAATTGCTTGAACCCAGGAGGCGGCGGTTGCAGTGAGCTGAGATTGCACCATTGCACTCCAGCCTGGGCAACAGGAGCAAAACTCCACCTTGAGGGAAAAAAAAAAAAAAATCCAGGCTGGCAAGAATGGGGAGAGGCATCTCATACCAAGGAATATGAAGAAATGTTTACCCTTAAACAGGGATAGCAAATCTTTAGGAATAGATACCAGGGTCTTTAGTCCTTCCTGGTTACACATTATACATACTTCCCAAAACGTATGTAGCCCTTTAGAAATTGAGATTATGCTGTTTCCAGGCAAAAATTAGGTACCCACTGTGTTGGGATCTCCACTGTACCCAGTGTCAATGATTCACAAGTAGGACTCTCAGTACAGCCATGGCTGTACTGATGGCTATTACTTACACAATGAAAGATCCAAAGCACAATCAGCTAAGAGAAAAGGCACTGGGGCAAGGTCTGGAAGAAAACACAAGCTTGAGTGCCTTCTCCCAGTGCGGTCACCAAGGCTTAACTCCCCAGCTATGAGTAAAACTCATGATGTGTCTTCTGCCAGGGAAGCCTGTTAGAAACTCAGCACCTAAGGTTTTAATTGAGGTCTAGCCAAAATAGGCATCCTCTGCTTTAGTACATATTCAAATTCCAAACTCCAAGAAAAGGTGTTCATATACCACATTGTTTGCACAAGTGACTTGGGCACAATGAGTCATTCTCACCAGAGAGTGGTGGGAACTCACACACAACCCAAGTTCAAGTGAGCGTCCTGCTATAGTAACACTCTTCTACGTACCTCCTTCCCAGATTGGGTGACTTCCCTTCCTCTGCATCCTTAGAGTCCTTTTGCTGAGAATCTGTTCATTGAAACTTGTCTTTTGGATATGTTGATGTTCCGTTGTGAATTCTGGGTTCTGCAAATAGAACTCTCACAGGAGCCCGTTATAGCAGTCTCCAGGGTCAGGGTTATGATTCACTTTGCAGTGTAAGTTGTCAAGGAGGCATCTCCTTGGGATAGTGTTCAACTTAGCTATCAAGTCATGCTGGAAGAATGGCAACATGGCTCTGCCACACAACCTCTCAGTAGCATGAAATTTCCTAGAAGAAATCTACTTCTAGCAAAGCTGTATGCTTGTAGCAGAGCCTGAATGAATTGTAAGAATTGGCGGAGCTAGTCAATGAGTGTGATCCTAGGCGGGAATCAGTTATTGAGGAATTTGACATGTTGGTTCCATGCATGATAAATGGTCAAGAGGTGCTTTGTAGATCCTATTGGGAAAAGACTGAATAACAAATCTCAGAATTGAGAGGGCTGTCAGCTTGTGAAGACGTGACTATGGTAGGAGAGATCCACATTTGAGCTTTCATGTGAATATTGCCTCTGTTTCTGTTCGTAAGCAGGTACTATAAGCATGCAGAGTAACTCTTGGTGCTGTCCTGTGGACCTAGCTGTCCTAGAGAAGATCTTGTTCAGACAAATAACACGGGCAAACACCTTTGGCTACTGAGGTCTTTCCACAAAGAAATAAGGGAATCACACTGACCTTTTTCCCTGAGATGTGCCCTTCGAGCCAGTGGCCCAGAGAGAAGCTCTAAGGGATGACGGGCACAGTCCTCAGTGTCTAAAACATAGCTGGAGACTGACTTGTTCAAATCCAGTCCTTGGCTATGAAGATCCCTGTAAGGACAGATGGGCCACCATACTTGTCACATTCTTACCCTTCATTCATAGGAACTCATACCTCTAGGCATGTTCAGTACTGAAGCCAGTTCTAAGTTCGTTTCCAAAGAACAAGTTTATCGTCTCTAAACCTGGCTCTGTCAATGTTGCAATCTGCCTGCTTTGCTGTTACCTGTGTCCCCTTGATGTGGACCTATGCATCTTAGGATTTCCAGGCTGGGCCTGGACTCTTTCGTCACCTACGTTATGCATGAAACAGGAGCCAATAAAACCCACTGAGTCCCCAGAGGAAAATCATGGTGCAGGACTGCAGTCAATGACCATTTCACCAAGTTTTTATTTACCAGAGACTTACTAAAGATGCCAAGGGAACCGCATTCTCATTCCCAACTTGGTATCCTTTTTGTGGGGAGCTAGCTCTGACACTAATCAGCAATGTCCTCCACCCTCAGGCAGCAGCATGAAATCCTAAAGAGCCTTTGCCAAGCTTCTGCTGGCCAGCCTTTGAAAAGTCTGACTCTTCTCATTGCTGAACACCCAAAGAGCAACCAACAAAATGATGTTCACTCCCCATAAAGACCACAGCTCCCCAGTAGTCCTGTTAGTGTACCCTTTAGACTACAGAGGTTTCTTGGGCTGGAATAATCTTCTTCTGACCTATACTTAAGATCAAAATGAAGATGAGATCATGTGTTCCATCATGGCTTCTGCAAATGTCAAATGTGTTTAAATTTACATGCATCTCTTCTAATTTATCCTTGAAAGTGGGATATGGACTCCTGCTATCCAAAGTTTTAGATGGGGAAAATAATGCAATCCCAACCAACCTAAAACCCCCAATCAGTTTCCCCCATGTATCACTAAAGCCCTCTTAAAACCCATGACAATCAAAGGAACTCAAACAAAACAAGCATTGTTTTCCTAAATAACATTTAATGTACTAATTAGGTATCTGTGTACAGTACACAATGGTGCTATAGACAGTACAGCAGGAATTATGACTTCTTTCTATACCACAGTAAAGTACTACCAATAGTGATGGTGTAAATGCAAATGCTAGCATACTTCAAAGTAAAACTGGGCTTCATCTGTGGAATGTTTAGTCACTGCCCTTCAAGTTGAAGGGGAATGAGAGTTCACTAGAGAACAAATGGGAAAATTGACCAGGATTCAACCACATCTGAAGTCAAGGAATGGTCCCAAAGTAGATAATTGTGTCCTACCCTCTGAAGCCATAGAACAAGAGTCGAAGGGTATGTTGTCTTCCCTCTGTTGGCAATTAGGTGGCTTGAGACTTTGTATGCTCTTGCAAGTGAGCATAAGAGAAGCATTGTATTCAAACCTGCAGTCATGACTGCAGTTCAAGGATTTTAAAGGCTTGGCATTATCTAGCCTCTTCTGCTAGTGAGAAGAATCAAACTGAATATGTTCTTCAGTGGCAATTTCTTGGCCCTTGCTAATGAGAGTGGGTTTAGTTGACAAGAAATGTTAAACAGTCACTATTTAAAATTCTGCAGTCTCAGAAGTTTTTGTGAGGGTAGTATAATTCTCTAGAAATAGGGAACTAGACCCTGCTTAAATAATTCTTGGTTCCTGGGTCCTCATAGAGACAGAAGGAACAGAAATAAAAACCTTAGGTATAGGGACTTCAAGTTCTGGTCATCCCTATGTGATGCAGTGGAATTCTACCGAGATACTCCTGAGACTATACAACCAAGTTCCTAGTAGTGGGATCCTTCACCTGAGTGAGCTCAGTCCCCTCTATGAAAACCTGGGCTGTCTTCTGTCCTGTCCTGTGGGGCTCTGGAATGGCCCTCAGTTGGTCTGAAAGTAGATTTCTAAGCAAAACGCTCTCTATCTCTGCCCAAAGGCCTTTCCAGGATAGATTACTGGGATAAGTGTGGTCAACTTGGTTTTGCCAAAGGGGCATGAATGTGAGCCCTCACTGGGGAGGGTCTGCCCTTCCCTGATAACTTCTAACAATGTCATTTCTCATAAGGACATCTCCACTTCACTCTGATACATGAAGTTGTCTTTCTTTCTTTGGATCTGATTCCTGAACCTGTCCTTGTGGACCAAAGCTCTTATATCCTGGTCAAGTGGGAAGAAGGAAGCTTTGAGTCCCAGTTACTTCATGCAATGGTGTTCTGTCCTTCATCAGGAAGTCTACTGACCTGTGAGCTGACCTTCTCATAATAGTCAACTCACCTTGTGTCTATCTTCTCTCTATACACCATCTGCATGGAATCCCCCATACAAATACCTTGATGAGGATCCTAACTGGAGACTGAATCCATCTCTGATTACCCATAGGTATGGGCAGGGTTGAGGGAACCAACAAGAGAAGTTGGTGTGTCCCTCTGCTCTCTCAGGACTTCATGACCACCCCACCCTTCCCAGAGCTGAGAGGACGGGGGAAGTAACCAGTGCTTCTGGTAACAGGCTTCTGGAATCCTCCTGACTGAGCTGTTGTCATGGAAGCTGAAGTCATAAAGAAAAGTGGTCCCTGGCTGGGGAGAAGGCGACGGACTACCCAACCTCCTCCACTTTCTATCACCTGCTGGTGCCTCTCATTGACTACATCTACTTGCTCTCTTGTCCTGTCTTCCAGGTGAAGACAAGCAGGTGATCTTCTCTGAACACAGGACAGAGTGAAGAAGTTCTCAGGGAAGGGCTGACCCTCCAAAGATGTCATTTCTTACAAGGACATCTCCACTTTGATACATGAAGCTATCTTTCTCTCCTTGGATCTGATTCCTGAACGCTGTCACCATGTACCAATGCTCTCATATCCTGATTGAGTTGGAAGAAGGAAGCTTGAGTCCCAGTTACTTCATGCAATGGTGTGTGCTGTGCATCAGGAAGTCTACTGGCCTGTGAGCTGACCTTCTCATAGTCAACTCACCTTCTGTCCACACACCATTTGCATGGAATCCCCCACACAAATACCACTATCAGGATCCTAACTGGAGATAGAATCCATCTCTGATTACCCATAGGCATGGGCAGGGTTGAGGGAACTAACAAGAAGTTGGCATGTCCCTCTACAGTCTCAGGGCTTCATGACCACCCCAACTCTCCCAGAGCTGAGAGGACAGAGAAGTAACCAGTGCTCCTGGGCCTGACTGAGCTGTTATCATGGAAGCCGAAGTCATAAAGGGAAGTGGCCCCTGGCTGGGGAGAAGGCAACTGACTACCCTCCCTCCACTTGTCTTTCCGTCACCTGCTGGTGCCTCTCATTGACTACATCTACTCACTCTCTTGCCCTGTCTTCTAGGTGAAGACAAACAGATGATCCTCTCTGAGCACAGGACAGAGTGAAAAATGATAGGCTAGATCTCTGGAGGCAAACCAAATAATCAGCACACCCACTCAGAGATCCTGCTGTCAGCCTATTTTTGGCCTGTGTTCGACTATAGAGAGGAAGATTGACCCTTTCTGGTATCAGAAATGTATATGATCCTCCCTACCATTGGAATCCCCTGCACTAGGGTGGCCCCTGCATACTTAGAGCCTCTATTTTTACTGTGGTCTCCCTGCCTTAGTCATAAGGAGATTCCCTCCACATTGTGCCTGATACAGTTGTCCTATCCGATCTCACCACCATTGCTGCCATCATTGATACTCTCCTGCTGGGGCCTCTTCCTGCTTAAGTTCTTTTCTGTTCTGCTGCTGTGACTGACATCGACTCTATACCTCCTGTCCCCACTACTACATTAAAGCCCCTTGTGGACAAGAGATCAAAAATTAAGTGTGATATTCTCAATGCAGTGAGAATATTCCTGGTTTTTCTCAGTTCTCACTGGAACGTAGTTCTCCGACTGGTTCTCTGTACAATTAAAGAAAGCTGCATGCGAGCAGGCGAAACTATGGCTTAAAAGGCTGAAGGTGCAGGGATCTGAACTCAATTCTGGGACAGCTGCTTCATTAACAGAAATTAGCATCTTGGAAGTATCTCCTATCCTAGGGCTTGTTCTTTGTGGATACAGAAGATGCCCGGGGATTCTTTCTACATCCCTTGGGTTCTTTGCCATTTTCACAGCCACTGGCTCCCGACACTTTGCCTCTTAACAGCCAGTGCTCTATCGTTGAAGGATGGGCCTCAGGCTGCCTTGACTGCACACATGGAGAATCAGGTGCTTTTTAACTAACAACTGAAGGATGCAGGGGTAGGTATGAATACTCCAGCTCCCTCACACCCACAAGGCCAACTGAAGAGATGTATGTTGTCTCCAGGGCTCTGCTGTGGAATTGAGCCAGTTACCCTCTGTGGGACTTTATGTGATATTTATACCCTTATATACTTCCTTCCCTCACTAGTTCCACTTCCTTGAGTGGAAAGATCCCCACTAGTGGATCCCGAGAGCATCTGGTAACTTCCATCTAGGTCCCAGAGCAGACCCTATGATGGGAATGCACAGGGTACCCATGTGGTCTCTTTGCTTTCTATCCAGCACTGCGACCAAGCATACCTCAAAGACTTGTAGAGAATAGATGTAGCTGTTAAGCTCAGTTTAACTTTAAAATGGGCCTAGCACTTGTTTTAAAATAGAGGTAGAGATGGGATTTGAACCTGGATTTATTTAGATCCATAGTTGAGAGCAAACTGTCTGGCATCAATAGCACATGTGATGGAAATGAAACATGGAAGTGAGGACAGGATTACCCTTCAATCTAGTTAGCAATCATCATCTACTAATCCAAAAGACCCTGGGTTGCAGCCAGCTCTGGCTCCATGTGCTGGGATCATCCCCTGTCAGGTAGTTTAAAACCTCATAAAAGAATAGATGTACCAGGTGAGATTTATCTGCATGTAGGAGGAAAGCTTATGGGACAAGCTTCTGGAAAGCAGATCTTAAACGAATCAACATAGGGTGACTTGTGTAATTATGGCTGTACTTGAGGGTTCACTTTGAAATTCATCATGTTCTATACTAATCTATACTTTCCTCTATATATATGATTTACTGTAAAGCTAAAGATCCTATCATTTTTCCTAGTGGGAACTCTGCTCAATCTTCTCATGATATTGCTAAAATAAAAAGCAGAGCTTGTCAGCTGAGTAGCACAGGGGACAAGACCTCATACTACCTCCATTTCATGCTACTAACAATTTGGAATTGATTTTTCCTCTTCCCAAGTCGGCTAACTTGGGAAAAGGGCAATGCAAGAAGTAATGTGTCTACCCTAAACAGCTTGACTCTGTTCTCTTCCTTCCACCCAGAAAATCCCTCAGCTTAAGGCTCTTCCCTGAGGATGACCATGGCACTTCCAGCTGCAGGTCTGGGGTGGCTGCTCATCTCTTGAACCACTGTCCTCCCAGGTAGGTACCAGGTATCTAGCTCAGGTCTCAAGACACTGCCTCTGTTGGTAAGGCCATAAGTCAGAGGGGTCCCATGATGAGGTCAGGCCTTGTCAGCCTGTTGATGGAATTAGAGTAATACCTGGGGGGATGGGGTGTTTGTATTAGTTTTGGCTCTGGAGCTGAAGGAAGAATGCTAGCATTTAGCATCTTGATATATTCTTCGGCACCAGCACATCCTGGGACAGCAATTACACTTCAAAGATTCCTCAGGAGGGGCTGGGGTTGAGCCCCCTGGGAAGTTGTGGCTACCTGAGCAGGCTTGTCCTGCCTGATGTGGGAGGTGGTGGGGGGGGGCATGGGGCGTGAAATCAATAGGATGGAGGGAGGCTTGGCATAAGGCTACAACTGGTGTTGCATCTGAAACCTTTTATACACGCTTGTGCATACACAGATCCCTTGTGTACTGCACCCTACCACCCCAATTTCTCCCTGGGAAGTACATTGATTTGTGCTAGCAACTGCTTACTGGAGGACCCAGCTGTTACAGTGGACACTTTCTCTGGATGTTGGGTGAAACCTATGTAGGATTAAAGGAGAGAAAGCAGACAAGGAGAGCCTCAGGTCATGATGCAGATATAAGGTCTGAAGCCCCAGTGATGTGCTCCAAAGACTGCTCAAAGCTATGCTGCATTGGGCAGAAATGGCCAGGCACTACTACCCCTACTGTGCTCAGTCATCAGCTGGATTTGCTTGGGGAGACCACAGTGACAAGTGCTGCGATGGATCCCAAAGGCACTGCAGCTACCTGCCATCCTACAGCTGAATGGCAAGGCTTGCCTTGAAAAGCAATTCAAGCAGCCCATCTCCAGGGCTGTCACATGGAGCTCTCTTTAACCCATCCTTCCCCCTCTGAATGCTGGGAGAAGCTAAATGCTGGCAGTCTTCCTCCAGCTTCAAATCCAATTAAGTTCACTGGAGAATCTGGGCAATGCCTCCAGATAACATTCCTACTTCCAGCCTGGACAGTGTCACACAGTAGTAGCCCTCCTACAAATCTGTGGTGCTAATAGCAGTCATAATGTTATAAATAAAGTTTTGGTGCCGCAAAAGAAATAGCACTCGAATATTAAATTTTCTTTTTAATCTTCCGCAAGGCAATTTACTTCTAGGGAAGGGTGTACCCTCACAGATGGAGCAGTAGTGAGTGCACACTTGGACAAGGGAGAGGAAGGGGTTCTTATTCCTGACACACATAGCCCCTTCTGCTGTGTCGTACCCCTATTGGCTAGGGTTAGACTGCACAGGCTAAACTAATTCTGATTGGCTAATTTAAAGAGTGGTGGGGTGAGTGGTTTGGCGGGAAAAATGGTTATGGCAGAGAAGGAAATCGGAATGAGTCAGGATGGAGAATAAGCAGGTAACAGGAATGAGGGTGGAGAATGAGCAGGTAACCTGGAATGAGCCAGGGTAGAGACGGGGGCTGGTAACCCAGAGTGAGCCAGGGTGGAGATGGGCAGTGATTGAAAAAGGTTGCTTCACAAGGAAGTTAAGTTTAAAAGTAGAACGCAAAGAATTGAACATACTGACATTCTTTTGAAGAGAAATTTAGAACTCATATCTAACAGCCCCTCCTCTTGCATTTCCTTACAGCTCTTTCTCTCCAAACTTGTTTAACATGTCTTGGCTTAGTCGTTCTGCTTGATTTTCCAAAAGAAGCTTCTCTGGATAAGGTGGAGGATAGTTAAGGGAGGTTTTAGTTAGTGCTGTTTCTATGAGCCTCTGCAGCAACCCATGGATGCATGGTATGACACAGCACCCGACAAAAATAAGTATACCTATTATGGCTGCGAGGGAGGTAAGAATTGAGACTATTATTCCTTTCCATTTACTGAACCACTTTTCTAGCAATCCTGTAAATGGGTCATTTACCCCTGAGTTGCTGGCTAACTCATTGGATAGAGCAGTCAGACCTTGCAATGCCTTTGTTATACTTCCATTAGGGGTGGTGGTGTCTGGGATGAAGGTGCAACATTGAGTTTTAATCATGATGCAAACTCTTCCTCTTTCTGCTAATGTCATGTCTAAGGCTATCCTATTTTCCTGAGCCATCTGGCTAGTAGCCCCTAATTGTTCAGCTATTCTTTTAACAGCAACTCTAGTGTAGTTAATTGCTGTTGGTTGTAATAGATGTAGTTTATCCGATCTAAATTTTTGTTACCACCAAAATATTGACTCAAATCCTGCAGCTATTTGATTTCGGGCTTTAAATTGATCTGGTATCCCCTGTGGGACTCCAGTTGTGTCTAAATTGATGTGAGAGTCAAAAGACCCATAAGGGGCTTCTCTAGCTTTACGATGTCTTATTTTTCCTTCCTCTGGTTGATGAAATGCCAGGGTGAAAGGGATAGCCCATTGGACTAAAGTACAAGTTGCCACTCCAGTTATTCAGCAGAGTGTCCAGTAAAGGTCCACCACAATACCACCACACATCCGCTTGGGGGTGAACAAGGGCTGATTGATAAGCTCTTGAAAATTCTTAAGCTCACTGCATCCCCTCAGGTCCCCAAGGAACGCTAAGTTTCTTCCCTGTCGTGAGAGACACAAAGTGAACTTGGTGTTGGGATACAGAAGCTGGATGGTCCTCAGGGGCTGACCCGCAGGGTGTCAGACTTCAGGATATAGCAGAGAGACAGCTTGGCACCACTTTTTACCCTAGGCTGTAGAATCCTGGAAAAGAGCTACCAGGCAGCCCACCCCCAGTCGACTGGAGGACCACCCTAGTGGAAAGGGGACAATCTGGGCCTCTGGCCTGTGATGTGCACAAGCATAACAATTGCTTTTGTTTAATGTGCGGATGGAATATTTGATCCATTCCAACCAGGCATTTGCATCTTGGTATCCTGTCTCAATTGCCAAAGTTTTAAGTCTTTAACTTCTACCATCACTATCTTGGCCTTGTTAGATGGAGGAGGAACAATGGTTCAGTTGTAAGAGGTTTTGGAAGGAGGCTTAGAGGAAGGTGCAGGTGGCAGGGGATCAAAGAAACACATTTCAAAGAATCCAATAGGGTCTGTCCCTGAAACCTCAGCCCCCATACAATAAAACTGGCTTAAAGAAGGGAACCAGCTTAGAAAAGGGGAAGAACTTTGGGGGCTTGAGATAATAACCTGTATAGGATTGTACTGGTTTAGCTGACAGTGGGGGCTGTCCCTTTGGTAAAATGAATGTATGATTTTAAGAAATTACAAACTGGGGCAGTCCATCCTTGCTGTTTGGTGATCCACAGAACATCAGACCAACTACGGCATAAAAGCTCTACATCAGGGAGGCAAGACTCCTAGTTGGCACTGGGGTCTTTATCAAAATCTCCCCAGATTAAATGGTCTCAATTCACTAATGCCCAGTCTGAGGAGAGCAAGGAGGGACAGAGGTACTTTTCTGAAGTAGAGAGCTGTCTTTGACTTGACAAGTCCCCACAGAGTATAACGAGGCAAGCATCAAATGCAATAGTTTGAGGCGAAATTGTCTTAGTTATGTTAATAACTACAGATGGTCAGCGATAGAGTGAAGAAAGAAGAAAGAGTAATAGAATAGATGAAAGAGTTAAATTCTTCTTAGCTTTAGTTTGGTAGGGTTTTCCCCTGGGACTATGGCCCATGACTCTGGAGGGGGTGGCACCTTCTTGACTCCAATATGCTGAGTCCACCCTCTCTGCTGTGTGGACTGTGGTTTCAGTAGTTAGGAGCACTAAGTAAGGACCTTCCCAGGCTGGCTCAAGCTTCTCCTCTTTCTAGCTCTTGATGAGGATGTGATCCCCAGGCTGTTTGATGCACTGGGAATTCCAAGAGTGGTGCCTGTGCTAATAGACCTTTAGTTTTAAGAGGAGAGAAAGTAGAAGATAGACCAAATACATAAGTTTTAAGGAACTGATCTTTTGTTTCAAAGGTAGGAATATCAGCGGTGGAGTGTAAATAAGGCAATCTGTAGAGCATCTTATAAGGAGAAAGACCAGTATGTTTCCATGGTGCAGTTCGGGTTCTTAGCAGGGCAATAGGTAGACACTTGGTCCATGGCAATCAAGTCTCTAAGACTAATTTGGTTAAGTGGTTCTTTAGAGTCTGATTCATTCTTTCTACTATCCTTGATGAGGGTGGGTGCCAGGGAGTATGGTGTTCCCATCTAATGTCTAATGTTTGGGATAGCTTTTTAATAATATGTGCAGTGAAATGAGTTCCATTGTCTGGGTCAATATTTTCTATTAGTCCAAAACTGGGTACTATATTTTCAATTAGGGCCTTAACTACATTATTGGTTGTTGCATTTGAAAAGGGGATAGCTTCAACCCAGTGAGTGAGGTGGTCTACTATCACTAGTAAATATTTTAGAGGACCTATTGGAGGCATTTCTGTGTAATCAACTTGGATACTTTGGAATGGCCTTAAGCCTGGATTCCTTCCCCTGAGAGGTAACTTTTTTTATAGTTTATTAGTTTTCTTACATACTAAGCAACTATCTGTATAACCTGTTTGGCCAGGGTATAAATTCCCAAACAACCATAAACTCTGAGAACGGCATCACATATGGCCTGGGGCCACCACTGAGTCCACTGATGTAGTTGGGAGAAGACTTCCCTCATAAGAGGTGGTTTAGACAACATTTCTCTCTGGTCTGGCAATATCTATTTTCCTTCTGAATTCTCTTTAGCGCCTATTTTTATTAGTTTTTCTTTTTCAGTGGAAGAGAAAATGGGGATTACGGTAGGAGGAGGGAGGTAGGGAGTTAAGTGAAAAATATGCATTTCAAAAGACGCAGCAGCCTGCTTGGCTACCTGATCTGCTAGGTTATTTCCTTGACTTTCAAAAGAAAGGCTTTCCTGGTATCCAGGAACATGGACAATAGCTATTTCTTCCTGCAACTGTGAAGATATTCAATACTTGGGTGATTCGCTCCTTGTGAACAAGGACATGACCTTTACTGTTGAGACCTCGTTCAGTCCAAATTTTCCCAAATGTATGGGCCACTCCAAAGGCATACCTGGAATTGGTATAGATGGTTCCTTCCTGGTTCTGTAAGTACTTTAAGGCTTGGCTGAGTGCAAACAGCTCACATGTTTGAGCAGACCAATTGTTGGGCAATTTTCCTGACTCTATTTCCACGAGAGTTTCTCCATCAATCACTGAATGCCCATTGTGTCTTTTTCCCTCAATCACCCGGGAGGAACAGTCTATGAATAAGTGCCATCCAGTCCAGAAGGGGGTTTCTCCTATGCCTGGTCAAACCTTTGTTTGGTAATCAATTAAATCTAAACACGTGTGTTCTCTCCTTAGATTTGGATTCTCTGTTAGGAAACCTGCTGAGTTGAGTGAATTATCGTGGTCAATGTTAAATCTTCCTTTTCTAACAAAATGGCCTCATACTTTAAAAGTCTCTAATCAGTAAGCCATCTCCCTGCTCCCTGATTTAGGATAGTTCTAATTTGGTGAGGTGGGCTTACTGTCAATTTTCTTCCAAAGGTTAACTTTCTGCTTTCCTTGACTAGTATTGCTATAGCTGTGATGGACTGGGTGCACTGGGGCCATCCACGAGTGACTGGATCTGAGACCTTTGATAGGAAGGCTACAGGCTGCCGGTGGCCTGTTCTTGAGTCAGCACTCTTAAAGCTACCCCACTGTCCACATTGACAAAAAGGTGGAATGGCTTTTCTAGGGAGGGTAAGGCTAAAACAGGGGCAGTTATGAGCCTTTCCTTCAATTTCTCAACTTGATCAGCTTCCTCAGAAATCCACAGGAGATGGTTAGGCTTCTTCTGGGCAAGTTTTTGATACAACAGTTTACTGTGCAGTGCAGATGAGTCAATCCATAAGCAGCAGTATCCAATTAACCCTAAAAATTTCCTGAGTTCTTGTTTAGTTTGAGGCAAGGGTAGGGAAACGATTCCCTCAATTCATTCAGGCCCTATTCTTCGCTTGCCTGCACTTATTTAGTGGCCTAAATATTTAACTTTGGGCTCTACATACTGACGCTTTCTTTTTGAACTCGTAGCCCCTCAAACTGCAGATGGTTAAGAATGTGTGTAGAGAAGTCAATGACCTTCTCTATATCTTCACCAGCTATAAGAATGTCGTCCACATACTGGAGAAGGCATATTTGTTCTGGGATGACAACTTTTTCTAATACTTCTAAAATCTGGCCAAAAAGATTAGGGGAGTCTGTGAACTCTTGGGGCAAGACTGTCCATCAATATTATTGTTTTCACCCTGAGTGGGGATCTTCCCACTCAAAAGCAAACGTATCTCAGCTATCTTCAGCCAGGAGACATGCCCAAAAACATCCTTCAAATCTATTACAGTAAACCATTGATTATATGGAATCTTGCTGAGAAATGGTGTAAGGATTCAGGACAATGGGGTGGGTAGTCTGGACTATTTGGTTAATAGCTCTAAGGTCCTGTACTAGCCAGTATGACCTGTCTGATTTCTTGACTGGCAGTATTGGGGTGTTATAAGGGGACATACAGGGCTTGAGAAGCCCATCCTTAATAAAGCCTTCAATTATAGGTTTCAACCCTATCCTACCTTCTAGGGGAATTAGGGTACTGCTTCCTTCTTACTACTTCTCCATGGGTTTTTAGCTTGATGTGGATCAGAGGGACTTGGAGTTTCCCTCAGTTTCCTTCTTTGGACCAGACATTAGGATTAATATATTTTTCATCTGCAGTGGTGAGTAGGTTTAATGAGGTAAGGAATCCTCTTGGGCTGACTTGTAAACCTATCCCTAACTTTAAGATTAAATCCCTCCCCAGTAAATTAGTTCCTGCTTCAGGGATTAACAAGAACAGAATATGAGCTGACAGATCCTGGTATCTAACTTCTGTGCTTTCTAAAATTTTTGCTCTAAATCCTTCCTCTTTTACCCCATGAGACTAAAAGTTCCTCTGAGGAGGAGACAACATTAGACTGGGGGGGTGGGGAACAGAGGAGCAAGTGGCCCCTGAATCAACTTGAAAAGGTGATAAGCTCATGTTTAGGTCCCACCTCCAAATTTATCAAAGGCTTCTGATGGGACTCAAGATAAAAGAGCCCCTGACCCCCCTATTTTTCCTCAAAAGTCATGAGTCGAAGGGCTTCTTTCTCCTTTCTTAGTTCAGGACATCCTCTCTTGAAGTGGCCTGTTCTGCCACATCTATAGCACCTATCTTGTCCTTCCTCCCTCTTAGTTCAGGGATTCTTTAACTCTGTTCCCCCATACTCTTTAGGGGTCCTGGTAGATGAGAACCTTGGTCCTCCAGATGGAGGCTGGGGTCCTTTAAAAGAGGGTTCGGACCCTTTATAGTTTCTGGCTCCCTGGAAACTGTCTTAGAAGTACCTGGGTTTGGAGCCATTGTTTGGAAGGTAGAAAACATAAGTTTTGTCTTCTGTTTGTTTTTCTTCGTCCCTTTTCACATATACACTTGGGAAGACTGTCCCCTAATTGTCTCTTTTGTAACTTTTTTGAAATGTCTGGCCAACTTTTTGTGACAAATTGGAGTTTCAACATTCCTTGCCCAAGGGGATCATCCAAACTGAGGCCTGCATATTGCCTCATTTGCTCCCTCAGTCTGTCTAGGAATCTCATAGGCCCTTCATCATTTTCCTGTTATATATCAAATGTTTTAGAAAGATTTTGGGTTTGGGGTACTGATTCCCAAATTCCTTTTATTAACTCCCTTATGTTCTGCATATTTTCCCAGTGATCTGCAGCATTGTCCCACCCGGGGTGTCAGGTGGGGAATTTCTGGTCTGAGGTAGGAACGTTTTCACCAGGAGGGTGCTCACGTTCCCAAACTACCATAGCAGCCCTACGAATGATACTCCTTTCTTCCCCTGAAAAGAGCATGCCCAAGATGGACATTAACTTGATCCAAGTGTATAAATGATGTCCTAAGAATTGGTCACTTTGGTCTGCCACTCCATAAGGGTCATCTAATAGTGGTTTAAGCTCCTTTTTAAAATTCCAGACTTCTGAACTGGTTAAGGGAGCATTTACAAAGCCAACGCCCTCCCCCCACCCCCCTTGTGGTATCTCTTTCAAAGGGAAGAGGGTTGGGGCTGACCCCTTAGGTACAGAGGGAAATGGGAAATTCTGAATATCTTTTTTACATTGTGCTACCTCATGGTGGAGTCCTCTTAGAGAGGGGTATTTAGGTTGGGACAGAACTGGCTGGTGGGATGGTAATTCCCAAGAGTCAAGGTTATAAGGAGAAGGGATAACATGAGTAGAGGGGAGATTTGGGATGGGATCTGAGGCAGCAGTGGCTGCCTAAAGGGAAAGATTGGGGACACTGAGTGGGGGAAGATGGTCTAGGGGATACCATGTACTGGAGTCTTTAGGCATGAGAGCTGGCTCCTCTGACTTCTCATTTTGAGGTGCCAGATTGGGTTCTTCCCTATTTGTTTTTAAGGGGAAAAGGAAGGCAGGTCTTTGCCTCCAACAAAGGGCTTAGCCTAGTTCTTCTTGAGACACTGGATTTTTATCATTAGCATATCGGATTAGAAGCTGACACATTACATCCTCATTCGACCCAAACTTTGACCAGAAGATTGAGGGTTTAGGATTGGTCCCTGAGTTCAAACAAAAGAGCAATATTTTATCATTTGTTGCTTTTTCCTATGTTTAGTCCTTTCATTATCCTTCCAGTATTTTAACATGAGACCTAGGGACTATCTGGGGAAATATCTTTGTTACCATCTTTATCCCTCTTGCTCCCTGTCTTGCTTGGGGTATTTCCCATCTTGATGGTTTTGGAGTAAGCTTCAATTTCCCTTACTGGAAATTTCTCACCTTTTGGGGTGAGGCTCAATTTCCCCTACTGGAAATTTCTTGCCTTTTGGGGTGAGGCTCAATTGCCCCCACTGGAAATTTCTTGCCTTTTCTACTACTGGAGGTTTGTGTAAGGTTCGATCCCCCCAGTGGGGATATCTCACCTCGTTTTCACCTCTAAGCCACCCCAACCAGGGAATACTTCACTGCCCCGCTGTGGCTTTCTTATCTTGGTCCCGACCACTAAGGAAATACTTTGCTGGCTCCCGTGGTTATGGTGTATTTTCCTCAGTCTGTGCACAGACTTGCGTGGCCGTTATGGAGGATCCTTTACCCTAGGTTGCCAGCCGATTTCTTTCCACATTGCAGAGAGCTCAGGTTATTCCTCACACTGGGTGGGTCCCGATTTCTTGCCCCTGAGGCCGCCACAAAGGGGTGGGGCATGCCTCATGAGAGAGAACCAGAGACCACCCCTGGAGGGGAACGTAATCCTGGATGGGCCCCCAAATTGTTATAACTGAAGTTTTGGTGCTTCAAAAGAAATAGCACTGGAATATAAAATTTTCTTTTTAATCCTCAGCAAGGCTATTTGCTTCTAGAGAAGGGTACAGCCTCATAGATGGAACAATGGTGAGCACACACTTGAACAAGGAAGGGGAAGGGGTTCTTACCCCTGACACATGTAGCCCCTGCTGCTGTGTTGTTCCCCTATTGGCTAGGGTTAGACCACATAGGCTAAACTAATTCTGATTGGCTAATTTAAAAAGTTGGAGTGAGTGGTTTGGTGGGAAAAAATGGTTATGACAGAGAAGGAAATCAGAATGAGTCAGGGTGGAGAAAGGAGCCGGTAACCCGGAGGGATTCAGGGTGGAGAAAGGAGCTGGTAAACCAGAGGGAGTCAGGGTGGAGAAAGGAGCCGTTAACCCAGAGGGAGTCAGGGTGGAGAAAGGAGCCGGTAACCCAGAGGGAGTCAGGGTGGAGAAAGGAGCCGTTAACCCAGAGGGAGTCAGGGTGGAGAAAGGAGCTGGTAACCCAGAGGGAGTCAGGGTGGAGAAAGGAGCCGGTAACCCAGAGGGAGTCAGGGTGGAGATAGGAGCCGGTAACCTGGAGGGAGTCAGGGTGGAGATAGGAGCCAGTAACCCAGAGGGAGTCAGGGTGGAGAAAGGAGCCGGTAACCTGGAGGGAGTCAGGGTGGAGATAGGAGCCGGTAACCTGGAGGGAGTCAGGGTGGAGATAGGAGCCGGTAACCTGGAGGGAGTCAGGGTGGAGATAGGAGCTGGTAACCTGGAGGGAGTCAGGGTGGAGATAGGAGCTGGTAACCTGGGAGGGAGTCAGGGTGGAGATAGGAGCTGGTAACCTGGAGGGAGTCAGGGTGGAGAAAGGAGCCGGTAACCCGGGTGGAGTCAGGGTGGAGATAGGAGCCGGTAACCCAGAGGGAGTCAGGGTGGAGAAAGGAGCCGGTAACCCGGGGGGAGTCAGGGTGGAGAAAGGAGCCGGTAACCCGGGGGGAGTCAGGGTGGAGAAAGGAGCCGGTAACCCGGGGGGAGTCAGGGTGGAGAAAGGAGCCGGTAACCCAGAGGGAGTCAGGGTGGAGATAGGAGCCAGTAACCCAGAGGGAGTCAGGGTGGAGATAGGAGCTGGTAACCTGGAGGGAGTCAGGGTGGAGATAGGAGCCGGTAACTGAAAAAGGTTGCTTTATGAGAAAACCACTGACATGCTGTGAGGAAGCCCAAGCTTCCCCTTGAAGAGACATCTGAAAAGAAATAACCTGTATCGACTCACCAACCATGTGACCAGGGCTAAAGAATCCACTTCCAGGAATGCTCAGGTTGCCCCTGCTGACAGGTCCAGCTGTCTGTCCCATCCCCCCAAGCCTGCTCATATGCAGATCCATGGGCAAAAGCAGTGACTACTGTTGACTTCAGGCACTGATTAGGCAATAGACACATAATACGAAGAAGATTCCAGCTCTGAAATCCCAACAATGAGGTATGGGAAGAGAACTCATCTTTCATATAAAGATTAGAGAGGTAAAGTCATGTTCTCAAGATCACAAAACTAGTAAGAGCTGATTGTCATGCGCATCCACGTGAAGAGACCACCAAACAGGCTTTGTGTGAGCAATAAAGCTTTTTAATCACATGGCTGAAGGTGGGCTGAGTCCAAAAAGAAAGTCAGCAAAGGGTGGTGGGATTATCATTAGTTCTTACAGGTTTGGGGATAGGTGGTGGAGTTAGAAGCAATGTTTTGTGGGCAGGGGGTGGATCTCACAAATACATTCTCAAGGGTGGGAAGAATTACAAAGAAACTTCTTAAGGGTGGGGGAGATTACAAGTACACTGATCAGTTAGGGTGGGGCAGAAACAAATCACAATGTTGGAATGTCATCAGTTAAGGCTATTTTCACTTCTTTTGTGGATCTTCAGTTGCTTCAGGCCATCTGGATGTATACGTGCAGGTCACAGGGGATATGATGGCTTAGCTTGGGCTCAGAGGCCTGACATTCCTGTCTTCTTATATTAATAAGAAAAACAAAATAGTGGTGAAGTGTTGGAGTGGTGAAAAATTTGGGGGAGTTATGGGGAGATAATGGGCGATGTCTCTCAGGGCAGCTTTGAACGGGATTGGCGTGGCGTCAGAACCTACAGTGGGAAAGATTCAACTGAAGAAAGATTTTTGGGGTAAGGGGTGATATTGTAGGGTTAGAAGGAGCATTTGTCGTATAGAATTATTGGTGATGGCCTGGATGTGGTTTTATATGAATTGAGAAACTAAACAAAAGACACAAGGTCCGAATAAAAGAAGAAAAATAGGTATTAAAGGACTAAGAATTGGGAGTACCCAGGACGTCCAATTAGAGCGTGTCCAAGGGGGTTCAACATTATTGTTTGCTTGGTTGGTGAGTTTTTGGGCTCTATCCTTGAGTTTTTTTATGTTGTCATATACCAGGCCAGATTGATTTAGGTAAAAACAACACTCTTCATTTAAAAATATACAGAGTTCTCCTTTTTCAGTAGTGAGTAAATTGAGGTCTCAGCGGTTGGAGGACAACTGCAGCTAAAGAGTCAACCTGGGCTTGGAGAACAGATAGTTTGTGACATGTCTGTAATGCTAGCAGAGAAGTCATTAGAGAGGCTGTGGAATGTTGACAGAGGTTGAGATGCCTGCTATTCCAGTTCCGAGTGCAGTAGTGGAGGCAGAAAGTCCTAGACCCACAAGTAAAGGGATTAGTGGGATGACTCTTTTTCTGTCATGTTGGTGTCATGAGGGGGACAGGTCATTGTCCGTTCCCATCTACAAACTGGATTTTGGGGGTAAGGAAGACTAGAGTACATGTGCCTGTCCAGTTGGCAGGTAGGCACATGTAGGTGGAAGAGCCACATAAAAAGAAGAGACCTTGTGTACATTTACTGGAAATGTAAAGTGAAAAGGTGAGAGGGTGTACTGAAAGAGGAATCCAGCACCCAAAATCCTAGAGATCCAGCAAGGGCAGCAGCCATTAGAGGTTGTAATGGGAATTGATGGTGCAACTCATAAAGGGAGAGGTTTGGTTTTCATGGTGTATGAGAAACCACATAGTGTCTACAAGTAACCTTTCACTGCTATTCATGGGGCTGGGTATAAGAAAGCAAGAGGAGGAGCTAGGAGGAGATTCAGACGAGCAGGGGGAGGGTAGCCAAGGATGGAGTGAGATGCAGGGTAGGTGTCTTCCTAAACAATAGTGACTGCCAATGTTTTTTAGTTTGTCAGTAATGATAGAGGGCTTATCAGTAATGCAAAGTTGGAATGCTCCCACCTGTTTGGTAATGTGTGTGGCTGGGTTCTGGAGATAGTAAAGGAACATTTGGACAGTGGGAGGTTGCCTAAAGGGATTCCAGTAGGCTGTTGTCGGGAGATGCATAAAGGAGTGGCAACAGGGATAGTTGTTTGTGTGGTTAGGGGTCCAAATATGGGGAGCGTGGAATTAACATAAGGAGAAAGGTGCTATAAGTAGATGTGGAGAAGTGTGGTAGCTTGTTGGTGTGAAACATCTGGGGAGTTCTCACCAAATCTGTCTAGAAAGTACAGGGACTGTACCCTGTAGCATCTTGAGGACAGGCTCTAATTTTGAGACGGGCAAGAAGTAAAAGTACTGTCCAGTCCTTTTTAAGTTGGAGGCTGAGCTTGGTGAGATGTGTCTTTAAAAGACCATTAGTCCGTTCTACCTTTCCTGAAGATGAGGACAGTAAGGGGTATGAAGGTTCCACTGAATACCAAGAGCCTGAGAAACTGCTTGGGTGATTTGACTAAAGGCTGGTCCATTATAGGATTGTATAGAGGTGGGAAGGCCAAACTGAGGAATTATGTCTGACAGAGGGGAATAAATGACCACGATGGCCTTCTCAGACCCTGTGGGAAAGGCCTCTACCCATCCAGTCTACCCAGACCAAGAGGTATTTTAGTTTCCTGACTCGAGGCATGTGAGTGAAGTCAATTTGCCAGTCCTAGGTGGGGGCAAATCCCCAAGTTTGATGTGTAGGGAAGGGGAGGGGGCCTGAACAATCCCTGAGGAGTAGTAGAATAGCAGATGGAACACTGAGAAGTGATTTCCTTAAGGATATATTTCCACGATGGAAAGGAAATGAGAGCCTCTAAGAGGTGGGCTAGCAGCTTGTAACCTACATGGAAGAGGTTATAAAATGACGATAGAATAGAATGGGCCCATGAGGCTGGAAGCAGATATTTTCCTTGGTCCAAGAACCATTTGCCTTGTGTGGGAAGAGATTGATAGGTGGAAGTTTCAGTGGGAGAGTAGGTGGGAGTGACAAGATGAGGAGAAAAACTGGCCATGAGGGACAGAAGTTGGACCGCTAGCTGCTTCTTTAGCTATCTTATCAGCATAAGTGTTGCCCTGAGCGATGGGATCTGATGCCTTTTGGTGGCCCTTGCAGTGTATGACTCCAGCTTCCTTTGGAAGTAAAGTGGCCTTGAGAAGAGTTTTTATTAAAGAGGCATTAATGTTGGACCACCCTTGCTTAGTGAGGAAACCTCTTTCAGCCCATATAACAGCATGGTGGTGCAGGATATGGAAGGCATATTTAGAGTCAGTATAAATATTGACACATAATTCCTTTGCAAGAGTGAGGGTTCGAGTTAAGGCAATGAGTTTGGCTTGCCGAGAGGTAGCGGAGGGCGGCAGAGCAGCAGCCTCAATGATAGATGTGGAAGGTACTATAGCATAGCCTGCCTTTGCTGGTGTGTGGCGATTAGGCGTGGTGGAACTGCCATCAATAAACCAGGTGTGATCAGGGTGAGGAATAGCAAAGAAGGAAATATGGGAAATGGAGTGAATGCCAGGTGTATCAGAGAGATAACAGTCATGGGGGTCAGGTGTGGTATCAGGAATAATGTGGGAGGCCAGATTGAAGTCCGGGCCAGGAACAATGGTAACTGGGAAATTCAACAAAGAGTGAGTACAGCTTAAGGAGCTGGGGAGCAGAAAGTATGTGTGTCAGGTGTGGGGAAGAAAATAGATTTTGGAAGTTACGAGAACTGTAGAGAGTGAGTTGAGCATAGTTTGTGATTTTGAGGGCCTCTAAAAGTATTAGGGCAGTGGCGGCCACCACATGGAGACATGATGGAGAGCCTAAAACGTAAGGTCAAGTTGTTTGGACAAAAAGGCTACAGGGCGCGGTCCCAGTCCTTGTGTAGGAATTCCGACTGCACAGCCCTGCACTTCGTGTGTGTAATGAAAAGGGTTGGGATGAGTCAGAGCTAGTGTGGGAGCAGTCTCTAAAGCTGTCCTCAAGGAATGGAAAGAGGAATGGGGAAAGGATTTAGGATCTATGGGGTCAGCTAGGTTTCCTTTTGTGCGTTTATATAATGGTTTTGTTAGTATGGCAAAACCAGGTATCCAAAGGCGAAAGTATCCAACCATGCCCAGGAAGGAAAGGAGTTGTTGTTTTGCAGAAGGGGTTGGGGTTTGAGAGATCAGTCAGATGCATTTGACAGGGAGAGCATGTATGTTTTTATGAAGAATTATGCCAAGGTAGATAACAGATGGAGAAGAAATTTGAGCTTTGGAAGGGGGATACCTGATATCCCTTGGAGAATAAATGTTGAAGGAGCAGGAGGGTGTCTTGTTGAGAAGAATCAAAGGAGGGGCTAAAAAGAAGGTCATCAATATATTGAATAACGTGAGAAGTGGAGGGGTGGAAAGAAAGTAAATCATGAGAAAGAGCTTGGCTGAAGTAATGAGGGCTGTCCCTGAAGCCTTGTGGCAGTACAGCCCAGGTAAGCTGCTGGGACTGATGGGTGTCAGGGTCAGTCCAGGTAAAAGCAAAGAGAGGCTGGGATGAGGGGTGTAGGGGAGAATAGTGAAAAAAGCATCTTTAAGATCAAGAACAGAATAGTGAGTTGCGGAGGAAGGTATTGAGGACAAAGGAGTGTACGGGTTGGGCACCACAGGGTGGATAGGAAAAACAATTTGGTTGATAAGGTGCAGATCCTGAACTAACCTGTAAGACTTGTCTGGTTTTTGAACAGGTGAAATGGGAGAATTGTAAGGAGAGTTTATAGGTTTTAGAAGCACATGCTGTAGCAGGCGAGTGATAACAGGCTTTAATCCCCTTAAAGCCTGTTGTGGGATGGGATACTGGCATTGAGCAGGGTAAGAGTGATTCGGTTTTAATGGGATAGTAATGGGCATGTGATCAGTTGCCAGGGAGGGAGTGGAGGTGTCCCATCCTTGTGGGTTAAGGTCAGGGGATAGGAGAGGAAGATGTGAAGGAGGCTTTGGGTTGGGAAGAAGGGTGGCAATGATATATGGCTGTAGTCAAGGAATAATCAGGGAAGCAGATAATTTGGTTAAAATGTCTTGGCCTAATAAGGGAACTGGGCAGGTGGGGATAACAAAAAAACAGTGCCTAAAAGAATGTTGTCCAAGTCGGCACCAGAGTGGGGGAGTTTTAAGGGGCTTTGAAACTTGGCTGTCAATACCCACAACAGTTACGAGGGCAAGGGAAACAGACCTTGAAAAGAAGGTAATGTGGAGTGGGTAGCCCCCGTATTGATTAAACAGGGGACGGACTTACCTTCCACTGTAAGAGTTACTCAAAGCTCAGCATCCGGGATGGTCTAGGGGGCTTCCGAGGCGATTGGGCAGTGTCAGTCTTCAGCTGCTAAGCCGAGGAGATCTGGGAAGGAGTCGGCCAAGGAACATTGGGTTTGGGCTCCAGGGGCTTTAGGAGCAGCGGTGATGTGAGTCAGACAGTCTGACCTCCACTGGGGGACCACACAGACAGGGCACGGCTTAGGAGGAATCCCGGGCTCTGGGCATTCTGAGGCCCAGTGGCCGGGCTTTTGGCATTTGAAGCAAGGTCCATGAGGATGTTTTGAAGGAGCCCCTGGGAACTGTGGCTTGAATGTTCTGAAGTTCTTGTATGCTGGAGACATACGTGGTTGTGGGTTGTCTTACAGTGGAGGTAAGTAGCTGTAACTCAAAAATATGTTGCTGTCTGGCTACCTCCTCTCTATTGTACACCTTGAAGGCGAGGTTAATTCCTGTTGTGGGGTTTGAGGGCCGGATTCCAATTTTTGAAGCTTTTTTCTAATGTCAGGAGCTGACTGGGTGATGCAATGCCTATTAAGAATAAGGCGGCCTTCTGGCCCCTCTGGGTCTAGGGCGGTAAAGTGTGTAAGGGTTGCCGCTAAGCGGGCCATGAACTGGGCTGGGTTTTCGTCTTTACCTTGGGTAGTTTTTTTAAGCTTGTCATAATTAACAGCTTTGTAAGCTGCCTTTTTAAGCCCTTCAACTAGGCGGGAAACCATATAATCTCGCCTAGCTATACCTGGGGAATCTGCCTGATAGCTCCATTGGGGATCCTCTTGGGAAACTGCTTTAATGCCTTTCTGGAGGTCTGGCTCATGAAGCTGGAGGTTATCAGCATGAGATTGGGCTAGAGAAAAAACTCTTTCCCATTCATCTGGGAAGAGGGTAGAAGTTAGGATGACATTTAAGTCACTAGATGTTAAATTGTAGGAGAGAGTTAGATATCAGAATTCCTGTATATATTTAGTGGGGTCTGATGAGAAAGAGCCTAAATGCTGGCTGATTTGGGAAAGGTCTGATAGAGAAAAAGGCACACGTACCCTGACTATGCTTTCAGCTCCAGCCACCTCTCTAAGAGGAAATTGTTGGGCAGGTGGGGGAGAGCTAGTGGCAGAACGAAACTGTAAACCAGACCAGGTGTGGGGAGGGGAGGTAATAGAAGGGTTATAGGGTCGGGGAGCAGAGGCTGAAGAAGAGTTGGAGCCTGATTCAGCCTGGCGGGGAGCGACCTGAGGAGGAGCAGTCTGGTGAGAAGGTGAGAGGTCACATAGGTCAGTAGAAAAGGAAGATTCACAAGAGTCAGTGACGCTTGGCGTTGGGGCTGAAGGGACAGGTGGGAGGGAAAGGAGGATTTAGGATGAGTTGCATTGGGAGCAGAGACTAGGGAGGGAATGAAATGTGAAAAATGCCTGGACGTAAGACACCTCGGACCATTTGCCCATTTTTTGACAAAAGTTTATCTAGGTCTCGTAGGATGGAGAAATCAAAAGTGCTGTTTTCTGGCCATTTAGAACCATTGTCGAGTTTGTATTGGGGACAAGTGGTGTTGCAGAAGAAAATAAGATGCTTAGATTTTAGGTCAGGCAAGAGTTGAAGAGGTTTTAAGTTCTTAAGAACACAAGCTAAGGGAGGAGGAGGAATGGAGGGTGGAAGGTTGCCCATAGTGAAGGAGGCAAGTTTAAAGAGAAGGGTAGAGACACAGAGAAGGGGGGTGGGGAGCAGCCCTGGGCTGCAATGTGGGTGAGCAGCCAATGCAGGCATCCCCGCAATTGACTTGCCACCAAGGGAATGTGGGTGAATGACCAAGGCAGCCGTCCCTGCGGTGATCAGACACCAGTGGAATGTGGGTGAATAATCAGGCAGGCGTCCCTGCAGTGATTAAACACCAAGGGAAGACTATCTTCCCGAGTCCGTGACCGGTGCCAGAGTTTTGGGTCCATGGATAAAAGATGTCTCCTTTGTCTCTACTAGAGAGGAAAAAGAACTGGAATTGGAAGGACAGGGAGATTGAAGGGTAGCGAGAGAGGCTAGAGAAGAGAGTGAAAAGACTGCTTACCCGATTTGAAATTGGTGAGATGTTCCTTGGGCTGGTTGGTCTGAGGACCTGAGGTCGTAGGTGGATCTCTTCATGGAGTGAGAGTGAGGACAGGGGACTGGTCTCCTGAAGGAGTCCCTCTGACCCGGGTCTTAGGCACAAAATGTCACGTGCATCTGAGTGAAGAGACCACCAAACAGGCTTTGTGTGAGCAATAAAGTTTTTAATCACCTGGGTGAAGGTGGGCTGAGTCCAAAAAGAAAGTCAGCAAAGGGTGGTGGAATTATCATTAGTTCTTATAGGTTTTGGGATAGGCGGCGGAGTTAGGAGCAATGTTTTGCAGGCAGGGGGTGGATCTCACAAAGTACATTCTCAAGGGTGGGGAGAATTACAAAAAACATTCTTAAGGGTTGGGGAGATTACAAAGTACATTCATCAGTTAGGGTGGGGCAGAAGCAAATCACAATGGTGGAATGTCATCCGTTAAGGTATTTTCACTTCTTTTGTGGATCTTCAGTTGCTTCAGGCCATCTGGATGTATATGTGCAGGTCACAGTGGATATAATGGCTTAGCTTGGGCTCAGAAGCCTGACACTGATCTTCAAACACAGATCTGACCCTAAGCCTTTTTCCACGCTGCTAACGTGATGACTGTCTTCAGGATGACCCTCCCCAAAACGCAGGTCAGTCAACTCTATGCTCAGCACAAAAAATACTTAGGAATCCTTGCTGGAGACACATAGAATCTATGAGAGACGAAAGATCCTCCCTACCTGCAGATCCCACCTTGCTGTAAGGGAGGCATCACCTTTCACAGTTGCTCAGCCCCAAAGAGTTACAGATGCAGGGTTGCTGAGAAAAGGATGTAAAGTTCATAAAAGCTGTAAATCAGAGGCACTTATCCCTAATGAAGGCTAGGAGATGGAAGGGGTTGCTTGGCTTCTGGGGCTTAGTTTTCCCAGCTGGAAAATGGGGAGAAGCTGGCACAAGTCTGTATCCTGAAATTCCTCTGGATTCGAATCCTGATCCCTAATCCATTACTCTTCCCACTACGAAGTGGCAGGGGTCTGCTGATGACATACAGCTTACCTCTGTCCTGGGTCCCAAACTTTTTCAGCTACAGCGCTTGCGAGCAAAGCATGAGGACCTTTTGCTGACTCAGACCCTAGAGTAGTTCCCCCTTTTCTCGTATCATGAGGTGCCTGTAAGCACACACACCTTACTATCTTCGAGATATAAATCAGCCCATTCCAATGCTGTGTGGTTGTGAACAAGTCAGCCCGCCCTCCCCCAGCTCTAAGATCTTGTGGTCTCCTGTTAAAAAAGTGTGTGCTGGCTAATTAAAGGGCAGGCCTTTCAGTTGGAACAGTAGGTGATGGTCTGTAGTCTCTACACTAGGAAGCACAGAAAGGAATCATGCCCCCAGATGGGGGAGTTTAAAAGAAATGAGATGTCATCAAGAGGACTCAGCAATAGCTGTCAAGGGACTGAATGTCCATTCTAGGCACTCAGGTGCCTTTTGAGATGCCAATGTGATTGGGGCTGTGTAAATGGAGGCAAGATCAATGACTCAACTTGAGATTGACAGTGAAGTGGAGATAGACAAGCTGGGAAGTCAGAGGCTGCCATAGACTAATGCCTAAGGGCATACGTTTGGTGTCAGGTCCTAGCTGTGACTCTTACCTGCTACGAAACCTTGGCCGAGCTGTTTGGGAAAAGGGCTCTGAGATGACAATCTATCTGTGAAACAGGAATGTTATTCAATGGTGTGATCACGTTGGTTCTCATGAGATCCAACAAGTCCTCAGTATCTAGCATGTCAGATGCTCTGGATAGATTGTCTCAAGGAGATTGTAACTGCCTTCTCATTTGTAGTCGCTACTATTTTAATATACTCTAAATGCTACTGGGGAAAATCACAGGTTGAGTCTTTTTGGGAGACCCTGAAAAGATGTGTTTTAGGGGTGCCCTTGGGCTCAACCCCTGTGGAAAGGAGGGGAAAAAGGGAGGTGAGCTGCAGTGTGGGCCCAACAGCAGCCTTAGCCAACCACATGGAGAGCTTGGGAGCTGGGATGGCCCCTCAGAGGCATTTTGAGAGGTGGTCTGGCCAAGGCTTCATACCTCTGTGTGGGTGTTATTGGCTGTGAGCTACATAGATGTGCATGATCTTAGACTCAGCTGTTCTCTGCATCTCAATGAGGGGCTGACAGCGTGAGCCAGCAGCTGAAGGGGATCTGGGTATGTAGCACAAGGAAACATGGTATGCAGGGATGGGGCATGGGAGGGCTTCCTGGAGGAGGTGGTGTCTGTGCTGAGTTCCAAAGGTCATGTGAGTAGGACTTGGCTACATGAAAGATAGTAGGAAGAAGGAATGTGCAGACAAAGGAAACATCACAGGTAAGGGGAAAGAAGAAAATAGCAGACACTGGACCCACTGCTGTCCTTTGACCTAAGCATGTTCCTTTCTTGAGCACTTACCCTTGGAACACACTTTATGTACCACATGACTCACTTTCTCTCATGCAGGTCTTATGAAATTTCCTGGGAAGGTAACACTGAGCTGATGCTACTTTCTAATACCGCAGTCCCTATTACTCTCCCTCTCTCACCCTGCTTTGCCTCCCAGCTCTCCTCAGGTCATAGAAAGATGAGAAGGTAGGTAGTACTCTCCCATGAAAAAGAAGCTTCATGAGGGCAGAGATTTGGAGCACACCTACTTTGTTATTCAACATCCCAACCCTCCCACCGCCTGCTGCCCCGCAGGACAGACCTCTGGATGCATTCAGAGACTTGGTCCTGCAAGTCAAGATTGTCAAGAAGGGCCAGATGGTAAAAATGTAAGATGACATTGTGTGCTAGGATGGCCAAAGAGTGGTGGAATGAAGGAGCTTGCTTGGATGATGTTGGGTTCCTAGGTCCCGGGGGTGGAGACTTTGACCCTGTAGGTATGTGGTGGCAAAAGGGCAGCTGAATTTCTAGGGAGTACCAGAGCCATTGACAACTAGAGTTGGTGTCTCAGGGAGGATGGTGACCTCACTCCCAATACCCTGGAAGATGGATCTGTGTTGCAGCTAAGGAGGTATGTCCACTTATGTCTGGGACAGATGGCACCTTAATCTTTCCCAGGTGTGGACCCTGCCTGACTCCTCGGAGGAGGCCCTTTCCAGGTCTCATGGGTTGGCCTTGAAGTCACACCTTCCTGAGGAGGATGTCTCTTTATTGCAGGCTTCCCAATTGATTGTTCTGAGGACAAGCCCTTTGATGGTTTTATCGTCCCTAAATTCACACCAGGCCCCAATAACTTCAGAGTAGGTAGAGAATGCAGAACGGGAGGGTCTGGGAAAGCGGATCAAGGCAGGAGATTACAACCTCTAAATCTTCGAGACCAGACTTTCCCCTGAAGGCTTCCACGTGTGGAGCAGGTCCTGCCATCTCCATCCTGGAATGCCCAGGCTAAGTGGATCAAGGTGGGCCCTCTACCTTTGAAAGCCCCGAAAACACCTGCTGCTGTGCAGTAAACAGCAGGTCTGTGCAGCTGATGGCTTCTGTCCAGCGACAAATTCCTGGGACTAAATAACTCTTAAGCCTGACATGGAGGCTTTATATTGGGTATCACACACCCCTGCTCATCCTGGGACCAGCTCAGCTGACTTTGGCTGAGTATCTGCTTTTGAAAGATCTCAAACTGAGATGAGAATTTAGGTACCACTTAAGCTTCCCGCCTGATCTTCTTCCCTTCGCTCATTTTCCTACCTTATTGTGTATTTTCCTGGGCTGACCTCCCAGTTGAAAGGGGCTGTTAAGGAGGCAGCAATTGGTCTTTATCCCATCGGGGACTGCTGTGGTCTATGCTGTGGTTTAAATACTTGGATCCCCCCCATCCCACTCCAAATTTTTATGTTAAAACTTTAGCTGAATTAAATATAAAGGAGTTTAATTGAGGAAGGAGTGATTTGCGATTCGGACAGCCCCCAGAATTACAGTAGATTCAGAGAGACTCCAACGCAGCTATGTGGTAGAATTATAGATAAAAAAGGGAAATGACTTACAGAAATCAGAAGTGAGTCTCAGAAACAGCTGCGAGTCTCAGAAACAGCTGCATTGGTTAAAGGTTGGCATTTGCCTTATTTGAACACAGTTTGAACAGTGGGCTACATTTGGCCAAAACTTGGTAATTGGCACAGGTGTGGCTACGGTCACTTTGCAACTCCCACTTGTTATAGTTCACAATATACAGAACAACCTTTAGGCTGAACTTGAGGCAGCTTTAGGCTAAACTGATTAACAGTTGAAAACCTAGCCCCGCCAGCAATGTGATGGTAGTGTAGGTGGGACCTTCGGAAGGCGATTGGATCATGAGGGCTCTGCCCTTATGAATGGGATTAGAGCCTTTATAAAAGAGGCCTCGGAGCTACCTTGCCTCTTCTACCCTACAAAGATGCAGCAAGAAGTGTCCATCTGTGTACCAGGAAACATGACCTCACCAGACACTGAATCTGTCACTCCCTTGATCTTGGACTTCCAAGTACCATGAGAAATCTTAGAATCCACCCAATCTATGGCATTTTGTTATAGCAGCCACAGTGGACCAAGATGGGGGGACCACTTGAGAGCCTGCTCAGAACAAATCTCAGGATTGTTCTCCAAGGAGTGCAGAAGCTGTGGGGGTAATATTTAACCACTGACCCCATCTTTCATGGGGGTGGACTCGTCCCTCTGGGTATTAACCTGTAAGCACTTCTGGATTGCTGTGTGTGCTTCTAGATGTTCCTATGGCCAGAGAACACCCTCAGACTCAGGTGCTTTCAAGGTGGGAGGCCAACAGCCTAAAGGTCATGTGCCAAGAACTGTCCACTGAAGTTGCAGGTGAACCTCCAGGTGGGCCAGGTGGATGTGGGAGACAGATTGCTGGCTTGCATCTGGTTCCAGCTCATGCTTGGGTCAGTTCAGGAGCCTTCGCCAATGCAGCCAACAAATACCATGTGCCAGCACTGCAACTACTGAGGATACAGAAGTGAACAGAGATAACATCTCGTACTTTCATGAAGTGCCATAAATCTCCTGATCCAACAGCAGTATGCCCTGTGGTGCTGAACCCCCTATTGACTCCAATGGGGAGGATACCAGGTTCAAGAGATCAAAGAGACCCAGAGCCAGCAGGCTAGAATTGGGGTTTTGTTGGGAGCTTACATACAAGTTGTAGTCCAGTGGCAGTGGCCTGAACAGAACTGCCTTATATATAGTCTAATGGCAGCAAGCTGGACTGCCTTATATATAGCCTAATGGCAGCAAGCTGGGCAGAAGAACCATGACCGCTTGCAAAAAGCATGCAGCTTATACAGCACTTTCACTTGGCAACAACATCCTACCTGGCAATCTTCATTCAACCCAAAACTTGGGGCCTCTACTCCCCTGTATAGTCTATGTGTCATAGGATGGGCTGGGGACTTGGATGTTCCTCATGGACAAGGAAGGAATCTCCCAGTTGGCTGCTCCTGGATTCCCTAGCTTGGAACACACATTCAGATGCATCTGCCCTACAGGGCCTTTCTCAGGGCATGCTTAAGTTACTGCTATCAGGTACATTTAGCATTCACTTTCCATTGCAATGCCCTATTGATACCCGTAAACACTCTGGCCTCGCAGCTGACTGGACTAAGCTCTGAACACCAAGCCAGCTATGCCAACAGTAGATGTGAAAAACATCCAGGTTGAGGGAACAATAAAAGCAAAGTGGTTAGATGCAACTGAGCTTGGTGTCAAACTGTAAGAAGGCTGATATGGCTGGGGGAAAGTGGTAGGAGACACCTTTGGAAAGGACAAAGCAGGCTGGCTGATGTAAGTCTCTTTAGAAGCTTAGCTTTTATTCTTAGGCCAATGGGAAGCTAGAAGTGTTAAGATTTTAAAGTATCATGAAGTAAACTGGCCTCCTTGCTTTCATTCTCTCTAGAACAATGGAAAGGATGTGGGCAGATCTAGGATCTGAGATGGAGCTTACGTGACATGCTGAGGGGATGAGATGTGGGAAGAGGGAGAGCTCAAATTAGGATGATCAGATCTGTTGAGTCTTCCAGAAAACATGCAAAGTGTTAAAAGGGAAAGCGGCCTATCAAGGGCAATTCCTCTAAGCTGGAGCTGGTATCACTTCTCTACTGTGTTCAGTGATGTCACATGGGGAGCTCAACTGGTCACGATGGGAGTATTTACACCTCAGAAATTGGTAAACGCGATAAATCAGAACTGGTTGTTAAATACTTACCAGCATACCTCGAATGTCTGAAAGATGGAAGTAGAACTGGACAGGGAGAGCCTCAGCCTGCAGAGTAGACCTGACACAGCATCAGTTAACAAGGAGCTGACAAAGACTGCTTATGAGAAGAGTCCTGCACTGGGGAGAAATGGCCAGGCCTTAGTACCCCTCTGTGCTGAGTCTCCTGGCCAGCAGCTTGGTTGTGTTCCAAGATAGAACACAACCTCATCCATGAAACCTGGGATTTCATTGTGTTCGCTGCTATATCCCCAACAACAGAATGGGTTACCCAGTGCAATGCGTCTTTGACAGGTCTCAAAGTGGGTTCTCTGAAAGGCACCCTGGATTTGTGCAGTGTATACCTATATGGCCCATCATGGTGGCTGATGAGGAAGACCCCAGCCATGGGGGAAAATGCCAGGAAATTCAAAGGGAATCTAACATGGAGAGCCAGTTTCAAAGCCCTTAAGCCATCCCTAGAGCAAACAGTATGTGAGATCACCCAGAGATTAGCAACAGCTGGAAGCCACTACTACATTAATGTTGGAGAAATGGAAGAGGCAGCACCACCAGAGCCCGGAAGTTGGTGCCATTGTGCTAAAGCTGGAAATACTTCAGGCTTTCCCAGCAGTAGTTGATGACCGGGGAGAAGTGGCTGGCAAGACGAGCTAAAACCAGATGAGACCACATCCGAGGAGAAATATTCCGGTTTCTCCTTTTCTTGGGTTTCTATTTGTTGAACTCACAAACAAATACCACTGGCAAGGGAGCCTAGGAAACATAGCCTACAGGGCTCTTTATATGCAGAGCAAGGAAGGATGAGGAATTGATGTAAATGCAAGCAGAGAAATGACTAGAAGAGCAGTCCTGACTTTGCACACAGTAAGTATCCAAATACTTGAAGACTAGCGTCTTCTGTCATTCAAACAGAATTAAGCAGAGCTACAGAGATGTAGAAAAGAGATCATGTGGGAACAGAGAGATGGAAAGTAGCCTCTGTCACTGACAGCCTTCTGGCTCCTAGCAGGCCCAGACCTCTTTTTTCCTATCCATAGACTTTGAGATCTACACCCCTAAAACCACTGCTTAAGGTAACTCTAATGAGCTGACTTGAGAAGATCAGTTTCTAGTAGCCAAAAGTCTTAGACCAGTCTGATTCCAGCAAAGTCATGGAACCTACATAAGTGTTAATCACCAGTTGATTGGATAAGGAAAACGTGGTACATGTACACCATGTGATATTATTCGGCCATGAAAATGAAATCACGTGCTTTATAGCAACATGGGTGGAGCTGGAGGCCATTATCCTCAGTGAAACAACTCAAATGGGCTAAAATACCGAACTGTCACTTATAAATGGGAGCTAAGCCATGGGTAAACATGAACTTAAAGATGGAAATGATACACTGGGGACTCAAGCTAAGGAAGGTGGGAGGGGATGAGGGTTACTGGATATAATGTTCACTATTTGGGTGATGGATCTGCTAGAAGCCCAAACCTCACCATTACACAATATATCCATGTAACCTGCACACGTATTCCCAAATCTAAAACTAAAAGTCCAATTCCAGAAAGACAGTATTTGGGATACTTTTGCTCAATAACCTTCTATAGCTCACTATTGCCTTCAGAATCAAGTTTATTCTTAAAGGGCTCAAAAACAGGTTAGAGGTTCAACTAAAAACATCCTTTCATCCTTTCATTTCTGTGTGGCTCTACCCAGAAAAATTGCCTCAGACATTGTATCAGCTAGCTATTACTACGTAAAACTTACTCCAAAACTTGGTGGCTTAACTTCATTTAAGGCTGAATGTTCCATCTGTGTATATGCCTTACTTCCTTTATCCGTTTATTCATCATTGGACATTTAGGTTGTTTCTACATCTTGGCTATGGTGAATAATGCTCTAATGAACATGGGAATGCAGATAACTCAAGATCCTAACTTCCTGTATATACCCATAAGTGAGACTGCTAGAATATATGGTAGCTCTAGCTTTTTTTGAGGAAACTCCATAGCATTAGAAATACCCAATGTACATGATGGGTTGATGTGTGCAACAAACCACCATGGCACGTGTATACCTTTGTAACAAACCTGCATGTTCTGCACATGTACCCCAGAACTTAAAGTATAATAATAAACAGTGGCTTAAAAGGATGAGCATGTATTATTGGTACTGAGTCCGAGTCAGCATGGTGGCTCTTCTGGTCTCAGCTGGGCTCATTTAGTGCTCCTCTGGTCAGCTGGAGAGAGAGCTCTGCTGACCCTAGCTGGGCTTTGTCACATCCTTGGGAATCAGCTGGCTATAAACAGATCTGAGATGGTCTTGGCTAGGACAGCTGGGCTGTGTGGTCTATTATCTAGCAGGCCACCTTAGGTTCATTCACATGTGATAGCATGCTTTTTCCACTCTTTCCTGCAGCTAGATTCTAAAATTGGGGACACCACGGTGTGCTACCCAGGTCTCATCTTTCAAAACTGAGATGTAATTCCCCTGGGTGCTGTGAGTTTGGGCTGCTGGTGGCTCATGCATCAGATGCTCTTCAGGAATTACCCTCTGCTGAAGACAGCCTCTGCTAGCTAGCATGCTCCCTTCCTGGGGGCAACCTACATTCCATGACTATGAAGGGTATAAAGCCCATCTCTCTTCACTCCAACTTGAGATAGCTCTGAAAAGCAGTCTCTGTTTCAAAGCTCTCCATGGGGTCAGCTGAGTTACCTTGCAGCTGAACTACAGTTTCTCCCATAGGAAACAAAATCTCCCTTCCCCAGTACCCCACAGGTACTGCTCATGAGTGTTCTCCCCAGTAAGCCACCTGCATACAGGTCCCAGGGAACTCGACCTACATGATTTCCTCATGAGCTGAAGTTTGACACATTAACATTTACCCGTATACCACTAATTGCACAGAGACGAGCTCTTTGGGGGAAAGACTTTGTATTCTGATTTCTGTAACACAAATACACCTGACTATTTCAAACCACTAGTTAAGTCACAATGTAGAATCAGGAAGAGATGTGCAAAATAGACCTTCACAGTAGGGGTTGGCTTAAGGACACTACTGCCCCCAACCCAGTGTGGCCACATGTGTATATGTAACTGAAACAAAAGTATTTGGAGGCAACCTCACTTTACTAATCTGCCTTGTTAGGAAACTGATTTTTCTATTTGTTTTCACTACTCAAACCCTTTCTCAAGCCACTAAATTTTAAGGCCTCTAACAGGTGGTTGCAACCTGCAGCTTAAAAGGCATGTGTTGGGAGTAGGTCCTGCTTGGCAGAGCAAGCCGCAGCGAAATGAATGTGAAGGAAGGAGGGTTCAGAGGCAGGAGTTCTCCCGTTCCTCCAGGGTGATTCAGGGTTTCTTAATTGGGACGAGGGGAGGATAAGCAGAAAATACTGTCTTTAACATTGAAAAGCTTGCAAAGCCCCCCTCTTTAGATTTTGTTCCCAAAAGTACTTAAGTTGTCTTATGCCCTAAGAAGTGTTCTTGGAAATGGGAGTTAGGTTGTCCAGGAATTGGCTTTCTAGTGGGGCTAGGAAAGCAAAGTATTTCCCTAATCCAAACCCATACCCCAAAAAGGTAGTTATAACACTGTGGGTGGTCACACCAGGAGTTCGTAGGATAAACAAAGCCATGTTCCACCATCAATATAGTGGTGTTAATTGTCACCTTTCAGGATAGTCTAAGGCTTTCAATACCTCCAATAATTGGCAAACTGGCTGCAGCAGAGCCCACTTCAGTTGCAAGCATGCTATTTGATGTGTGCAATCGGGGACATATGACATAAAACCCAGCACTGGGGTTGCTTGTGACCAATGAGAAAGTCTGGCAACCATGAACTCACATTCTCACATGGCAATGATCTGATGGAGTTAAATGGAACGGTGACCTTATCATACGGAGTCCCAACAGGCAGCAAAGTTTGAGACTCCCCCAAAAAAGCAAGGGTGGACATTTTGGCATTAGGGTCTTCAGGTAGGCTTGGAAAACAGCACCTTTCCCCCTGTACCTAGTTTAAGCAGTACCTAAAGAGTAAGCTGATCTTAGCTAGGTAGGAAAATAACTCGTTCCTAACCTGGCATGTTCCACCCACAGCTGCAGCCCTTCACCTTGGCTGTTTGCAATCAACGGGAAATGGTGGTCTTCTGGTGAAGTTTCTCCTCCCAGGCAGCTGAGCCGCCTGTTTCTTTGAAGATTACAGGGCTTTAGCATGCCTTTAAAGTGAATTTTTCCCCCTGTGTTTTATTATAACTAATGACCAGAAAACTTTTCTTTTTTTTCCCCCTCCCTTTATCTCTTAAATATGTTTCTTTCCTCTTTAAAAATGCAATATTTCTTTTAAACCAGGATATGAATGAGTCTGTCCCTAGCAGGGCAAGCCCAGCTTCATCCGTCAATTTGATTATGCAAAGCCTCTGTTTTCAGCTGGCATCTGAGGTGGATTTCAAAGCCATGACGGGTGTGCTTCCAGGCTTACGACCCGGAGAGCAACTGTCTACAAGAGCCTGAGCTCTCAGCGTGGGTCTGGTTTTAAGAGAGGATCCCTCCAAGGCCCCAGTGGCTAAATGATTCACAGGATTGTGTGTACACATGCAGGCACTAACACAACCAGGAGAGTGCAGTTATGCAAACCCAAGCTGACAGTCTGTTATTGGTGCCTAGGAGTCATTTCACTTAGATACAGAAAACACATCTGCAATAGCGCAAGACTTCAGGTCATGGGGTAAATGCGCAAAGATGTAGCTACTGAGGCATTTTAGTAACCAGTATTAGGTTTCCCATTTTTCCCTAAATGCTCTATGGTACATGCATACAACAGAACAATACAGATGTCTAAGTACAATGCTAAGTACACAATACTAAGTACAAAACAACAAGATTCAGAACAGCTACTACAATACGCATGCAATTGTATAGATTTGCGCAATTGGAGACATTTGCACAAACTATATCTGTACATGCACAGACTATATGTAGAACAGGGTTTCTCAGCCTCACCACTAATGATATTTATGTCTGGATAATTCTTTGGGGACTGTCCTATGTATTACAGGATGTTTAGCAGGATCCCTGGTTTCTATCCACTCATACCAGTCGGACCATCCGGGTATGATAACCAAAAATGTCTCTAAGCGTTGTTAGCCATCCCTGGGACAAAAATCACTCCCAGTTAAGAACCACTAGTCTACAAAGATACAAATGTAAAACAGCAATAGTGAATTCTGGGTAGCAGAATTCAGGGAGTAAGGATGAATAGGAGACTTGACTATTTAAGTTGTATTGCTTTGGAGGTGGGCCCCTTTAATGTGAGATGAAGATTATTAGGTACCCTGACTTAATAACCAAATATAACTTTTATAAACCAGTAAAATTCAGAAAATGTACTTAAAGTTTCTCAATGGAGCTATTACTACGCAAAGGGTCTTTGCTGGGAACATGTGCATGGAGCCCTGGTGAAGTTTTTGTTCAGGGTACAAGTACATTCTGAACACAAGACAAAGTGGTTGCATACATTTCTCTACTTATACCACACACTTGAAAGAAGCTTAATTTGGTTGGGGAGCTCTGGCAAAGTATAATCTCTCAGATATTATATTTATTACAAACTATTGCTTAATCCTCACTATTTATCCAATAACTGGAATGCAGTTTTCCACCAATACAGTTAAGAGAAGTGGCTTGCATTGACTCCCTTATGGACTCACTCAGTGGGAGAAAAGTTGAGGGACTTGATTTGGATGGTACAAGAATGACAACGTGAGCAGAGGCCGGATTTTGCACATCACACCCAAGGTATCATAAGTGGTACCTTCTTCACAAACGACTCCTTGAAGTGATGGCTGTAAAACAATCTTGGAAAACATTCAGGATTGTAACTCTTTAATCTGGCTTTGATCCAATCACTCAATTATATATATATATATATACACACACACACACACACACACACACATATACATATATACACACTATATATACACACATATATACACACATATATATCATATGTGTGTATATATAGTGTGTATATATGTATATATATGTGTGTGTGTGTGTGTGTATATATATATATATAATGTATTATATATTTGAAGCCTGTGCCCTATCCCCAGGGACTGTGACTTTGGAAGTGGAGCCTAGGTCCCTAGATACTTAATGTTCCAGGGGAAGTGATGGAAGTGATGTTTCTTCAAGAGCCCATTGTTGGAGGCCCTCTGTAATAAACAAGGGGTAGAATTGAAGCCACAGCACAGTGCTCTCCCACTATGAAAAAACACTGAGGATGCTTGGGATAGAAGTCTTACAGATGGGCCCATGGCCTATGGCTGTCAGAAGATCTGTCTAGGTTGAGTCACAGTATGTTGCACTTGAAGGGGGGGCCCCCCAACACATGCTGTACAACCAACAGTAAATCTGCCTCAGCAGGGGTTGTAGACCCCACACTAAAGTCACATGGCTGAATCGTTGGCTGAATTGGGTCAGAAATACTCAAGATTTGGGGTATCCAAAGCGTCTGAGCCTGCGATTTGTCAGTGATTAAATACTAGGTTTCTCTGTGCCTGAAACTGCTGCCTCGGAGGGAGGGCTGAAACATTGGCACATAAGATGACGTCTGTGTTCAGAGCCAGTGGTGACTTCTATTCCAACCCACCCCCAAATTGTACCCATTCCTTAAGGCCCAGTTCAAATCTCACTCTACCAAGACTTGCCTGGTTTCTATAGCTCTGAGCACTTAATCACATTGCAAACGAGAACATAAATCTTCAAGTACAACCTGCCTGAGATCACTCAGCAAGGATGGTGCACGGTCTGATTTTAGACAGGCCTGGGTTGGAGAACACAGCACCCTCAGGACCTGCCCCATCCCCAACAAAAAGGAGGCAATAGCTGCAGAAATGAGTCTTCCTTCTGTCGTGGGCAGTGAGGAGAACAGGACATGGGTGGAAAAATTGAAATCCAAAGTCCAGCGTATAGTTTATAGTAATGCACAAAGTTAACTTCTTTTGACAAACATCCACATCTTACATTACCATGGGACACCAGGGGAGGCTGGGTGAAGGGTATGTGGAAATTCTCTGCACCATCTTGACATGCTGTCCCATGCACAAGAATGTGACTAGTGACATGTTAGAATCATGGGCTCTGTCAAGTTCATGCCCAGCTCTGCCACTTACATCTAGAATATTTTGAGGGAACAGAATGAAGAAAGTCCCTAACCTTTCACCAGTCTCCCCATCTGTAAAATGGTGATAATATAACTCAACCCAGTAGAGTTAAGGATTATGGTATTACCTAGGGCTTGTACAAAGCTGCCACATAACTGCTTTAGATCCAGCTACTGATATTTTTATTATGCAGTTAGTATTTGCCAATCAAACTGTACAGTTTGGCCCCTTGGACTGGTTAGATGCAACTTTCCAGTCCGATTATCATGTTGTTCTGTGGGTGCCCAAATGGCATCTCTAGACCACTTCTCTCCAAAGTGGCCCAAAACATGTCTGGATGGCTCCTGGCCTCCTGCCCATGTGGCAGCTTTGCTGATTTCTCTCCACTCTGGCCATCAGTCTGAACACAGTTCTTGTGACACAGAAAGAGCTTTTAGAGGCAATATTTTTATTCCTGACCTAAGCCCCTCTACCCTGAATCAAATCAATGTAGGGCTCCCAGAATGAACAAGGATGTTCCTTGTAGCCTTCATTAGGAAGAAACTGGAAATAACCTAAGTGCTCATCAAAAGTGCCTGACTTACATAATGAGAAACCCACACTCTGCAGCAGCTGAAATGAATGAGGAAGATCAGTATAAACCAGTGTGGGATGATCTCAAACACATTAGGTTAAATTCCCATTTTATGTGCAGCAGTCTGTACTGCATTAAAAAACCAAGTTTAAAAAAAGTATGTATTTAAGTATCCACTTGTAGGAAGACACATGAGAAAGTCTAGAACAGTGCAGCTTGTGTATGTATGGAAGTGTTCTATATCTGTCCTGCTCAGTGCCATAGCCACTAACAATGTGTACTATTGAGCACTTAGTATAGCCAGTATGACCAAAAAAACCGAATGTTAATTTTGATTTAATTTGAAATTGCCCCCATTGGGTAATGGGTACCATATTGGACAGAAGACTATAATCTGTAGTTGAGAAGACTAGAGATGGAACTTAATGGCACTGGGGCAGGAAGCCAGGAGTTAAAGAGGACCTTTTTTGTGTGTGTGACTTGGCTTTAGGAAGTATATTCCCTGTCTTATGTTAAAAATTAATACTCTTCTAAATGCACTGTGGTACCTTGGGTTGAATCCTGGAACAAAAAGTCAATAGTTAATCATTGCTGAAATCCAAATGAAGTCTGGAGTCAGTAGCAATATACCAATATTCACTTTAATTTTGACAAATGTATCATGGTAATGTAAAACGTTGACATTAGGGGAAGCTGGGTGAAGGATATACAGGACTCTCTCTACTTGGTAACTTTTCTGTACACTTACAATTATTCCAAAGTAAAAGTATATTCCAAGACTACAAGTTTAGTGCTGGGTTTTTCTTAACTCTTAAATCGGACACTTGAAACACTTCTGATTAAAGACAAGAACACCAACTTCAGTGCTTTCTGGCTCTGGGCTCAGCATGTTTGAGAACTTCAAAGTGGAGGCATCTGGGCAGCTGCTCAGAAGCAGCCACCACCGTTCCCACTGCGCTTCTGTCTGGTGTCTGGTATGACCCTAAAGCCTTGAAATACCTGCAGAGACCTGGCAGCCACCCAGAGACTGGCCCCAGTGCAAGGCCAAGAACCTGAGACACATCTGTTCCAGTGGTCCCACCTCCATTAGAGGGTGCCACAGAAGCTGTTGCTTCTCAAGGTCATTCTGAACGTACTTAGATTTATGAAAAACACGGACAAAAGAACCCACTTTCCAGCTGGTCATGGCGGTGTGTGCCTATAGTCCCAGCTACCAGGAAGACTGACGTGGGAGAGTCTCTTAAGCCCAGGAGTTTGAGGCTGCAGTGAGCTATGATTGTGCCACCGTACTCTGGCCTGGGCAACAGATCAAGACCCCATCTTTCATCCTCTACCATGTTTGTTACAGTGCCTCTTTGTGGCCAAAGAGTAGATGTTTCACTACTTCTGTCTTAACAATGAAGAAATTGGGAACTCCCTTCACCTCTGAGCCTCAAGATCACAGCCAGCACCCAGATGCTGTTCCACAGTGTGGAAGAGAGGCAAGGTCCCCACCTGAGTGGAGTTCTAGGCATGCAGAGCCACTCAGACCATGCATTCTAGACCCCAGCCAACCTGGATCCTGTGCCCTACTTCTAACACCTCCTAGCTGTATGAATCTGGGGAAAGCCTGCTGCATGAGGTGGTCTGAGCCTCTGTTTTCTCATCTGTAAAATGTGATTCTCTCTAGATTGGGTAAGATTTAAGTGACCTTTAAATTAAAGCCTCAAGACTATTTGCTGATGTTCATCACTGTTACACCAAGTAGGAAAAAAAATCCTTGAACCACACACTCTTAGAAGTTCTCTGGCTGAGACAGGAAAAGAGGAGAGAAAGTTGTAATTCTTACTGACTTAGCTTCTAAGTGGAACCTCAAGATAATGCAGCAATAGCAAACCTGAACCTGAGAAAAGTCTAGAATCTTTGCCTTTAGGTCCCAGTTTTTGTGATTGATAGAAGGCTCATCAGTGTTCTGAGTGATCCACCTGGTCTGAAGATCAATCAGTACCTTCCTGAGTAATAAGGTCCTATAATAAAAATGTATGTCTGTTTTCATTGGAACATCACACGAATTTAGCGAGGACTTCTGCTGTGTCAGAAGCATCGCACAAAGTCGATGTGATGACTACATCGTGGTTTTCTGGGTCTGCAGGGCTTCCAGGCTGGCCAAGGGTCACATAACAACTGCCTTCCTGAGCCCTTTTCCTGATGTGAGTAAATGACTCCTACATCAAAACCAGACTGCTCCCCTTACCCAATGAGCACCTCGCCAGCAAGAGCCTTCCCCCTCTGCCTGTGAGCTTGTGTCAGGGGTCTCGGGTCTTCATCTGCACTGTCTAAAAGCAGCTCCTCCAGAGAACTGCTCTTCAGTTTCCTTCTCAGCACAGCCCAGCCAGGACCTTTGAGGGCCAAAGAGCGGAAGGCAAACTGAAGACCACCGGTCTGGCCCCATTTCAAGAATGGGCTACTATCTAAACTCTAGCTATGCCACCTTCTGCAGGATTATTCCAAGGCTTGGATTAGATGAAGGGAGGGTGAGAGTGAGAAGTTTGAGAAGCATTTGCCACTGTGATTTCTAGAACAGCCTCGATGGCAGAGGAGAATAAAGATACACTTCAGTTTTTCTAAATTGGCTAAATGTGAATCCAGGTGGCTTAATTAATGCTGAATAACTGGCATGGTCCTGTTGTGCTGGTGTCTGACAGCAGGGCTCTGAGGAGCACTCAGGATGGAGTGAAGTAGGCTCCAGCTGTACTCAAACTATAAATTCCAGCAACCCTGCTGACTCCGGGAGACTCCTTACCCTAACCTCAGAGGGACCTGAAGCATCTCTGTGGTCTGCTGGATGACTTCTTCTCTTGCCTCAAACCAGAAGCTAGCATGGCCCTCCCTCTGTCCCCCAGGAGGAGCCTTCCCTCAGCTCTGCATGCCCAGGAAAACCCACTTGCTCCTGACTCCCAGTGGTGCCCAGGGTCCAACCACCAGGATCTGGCTGGCCCACAATCCCTCTTGCAGGACTGGTTCCTGACTCTGTAGGAGAAACAAGTGGGTGGGCTGGGCTACCACCTCTCACTGAGACTCAGGACATGTCTCTGCCTGAGAGCATGTTCCTATTTTTCTCCTATATCCCTTCCAGGAGAGTCATCTCTTACACCTGCTTATTTGCGTTCCAAAGTACCCTGTCCCGGAGATTACAGCACAGAGCAGCCCATGTTGCAATTATGAACTGTCAAGGCTTATGAACATGAGATAAAACTTTAAGCGGTCAACCTCTGATCTATTGTATACCCCTAGAAATGTTAGGCTGTTTAACCTTGTTTGCTTCTGTCAGCCTCAGTTTTTTCATCTGTAAAATGGAAATAATAGTATCTATTTTGTAGGACTGTTCTGAGACTCCAGCAAATGTTTTAGCAGGCACTCAGAACAGTGCTTGGCACATCGTGTTTATACAAGTGTTTAAATCCCATAGAACCCTTGCAAACACCTCACAAAGGAAGGAACTATCTGTCTTACTGAGAAGAAAATAAGAGCTAGACTCTGTGTTTCACAGGTCACACAGCAAGTGCCAGCCTCAACTGTCAGCTTCTGCCATCTGACTTGAGTCTTGCTCATATACCCAGTTTAATATTATGCCTAACTGATTTGATGGTGACTTGAGGAAAGTGGTGTTCCCCGTTGAACATGACAATCTTGCATTCTGTACCAACACTATTCATTAACCTTAATACTATCCATTTAAACTTAAGCACAAAACTTAGCTAGTTTTTTAGAACAGAGAATGCCTTAAGCTTTCAACCAGTTGAGTTAAAAATTAGAGGATGGAGTTGGGAGGCCGAGGTGGGCAGATCATGAGGTCAGGAGATCGAGACCATCCTGGCTAACATGGTGAAACCTCGCTCTACTAAAAAATACAAAAAAATTAGCTGGGCGTGGTGGCGGGTGCCTATAGTTCCAGCTACTCGGGAGGCTGAGGCAGGAGAATGGCGTGAACCCAGGAGGTGGAGTTTGCAGTGAGCCAAGATCATGCCACTGCACTCCAGCCTGGGCGACAGAGTGAGACTGTCTCAAAAAAAAAAAAAAAAAAACTTAGAGGATGGAGAGAGCTGATACTTGAAGATGAACCATGTTAATCTTCAGCAATTCGCCAAGTTTTGAACCACTGACATTTGGATTTGCCGTATTGAATACTCAGTTATTTGCATATGTTGACTTCTTTTGGCCTCAGTTTCCCCCATCTGGGAAAGACCAGTTGATTCGAGGATTCAGTAAGTTCACTTGCACATGAGTCATAGTAACTAGGGGCAGAACTATTGAGCCCTGGTGTTCTGGCTGCTGGATCCATGCCTCTAACCATCTTGTTCTGAGTCTTCTTGGGACCACCAGCTGAACATCCTCGCGGGCCCTTCATCTCCATCTCTTCTCTGAAAGCCAAGTACACCATGGGGCCAGACAAGATGGGAGCCTCTGGCAGAGGTGGCGGCATGTTTGTTATTCCTGCCCCACCTTCTGGAATGGGGGATGGCGGGTGTAGCCTGTAGAGGACGTTGAATAATAACTGGAGAAAGGCCTGCTCTGGTTCCCAAATAAACAGGCTCATGAGTGATGAGGGGGGACCCCCTTCTCTCCCACCTCCACCCAGGGCAGCTGCAGCCGCCAGCACTGTGCACACGTTTCTTACACGAAGGCGAATAAACACCACCAGGACCCACTTCAAAAGACTCCAGGAGCAGCCGCTGCTGATGGAACTGGCATGCCTATAGGGGGGCTGGGCCCGTGCAGAGGGGCTAGGGTGGCCTCTGGTAACAGACGGCCCCAAGACGTCCAAATACATCAGTGTGGAGGCCTCAAAGACCCAGTGACTGCGAGCAGGAAAAATAAATAATGCTGTTATCTCTGAAGTTTTCCCTTTGATCTCGTTTCCCCTCTCTCTCCTGCCGTTGCTTTTTCTCCCCACCCCTTTCCTGATTTTTCTCTCTCCGCTACCTTTTTTTTTAAAAAAAACCTTTTCTCCTGGCCATTTGATTTATGCCCCCAAACAGCTCTGAGAGGCTGTCGTCCCCTGATGAATTGGTGGGGTTGTTCTGCTCGGAGACCCCGAGCAGGCGGCTGGGAAGGGAGCGAGGGGAGGGCGGGATGGTTCCTTCCAAACAGGGAAGACCTGGCCCCAGTGAGGGGGATGCTGTATGGACGCGTGTGAGCACGTGTGTGGGTGTGTTCCTACTGGCACACACCAGTGTCACCTACAGCAGCAGTCCCCAACCTTTTTGGTACCAAGGACCAGTTTTGTAGAAGACACATTTTCCAGGCTCGGAGGAAGGGGGGGTGGTTTTGGGATGGTTCAAGTGCATTACACTATGGTACACTTCATTTCTATTAAATTGTAATATATAATGAAATAATTATACAACTCGCCATAATGTAGAATCAGTGGGAGCCCTGAGCTTGTTTTCCGTCAACTAGACAGTCCCATCTGTGGGTGATGGGAGACAGTGACAGATCATCAGGCATTAGATTCTCATAAGGATTATGCACTCTGGATCCCCCAGGTGGGCAGTTCACAATAGGGTTCGCACTCCTATGAGAATCTAATGCCACTGCTGATCTGAGAGGAGGTGGAGCTCAGGCAGTAACCCCAGCCAAGGGGAGCAGCTATAAATACAGATGAAGCTTTGCTCACCTACTCACAGCTCACCTCCTGCTGTGTGGCCCACTTCCTAACAGGCCACAGACTGGTACTGGGCTGTGGCCCGGGGGTGGGGGACCCTTGACTGAGAGCTTGGACCACCTCGGCTTCCACTTGGTTTTGTTTCTGAACCAACATAGGAATGCAGAGAAGTGGTTTTTGAGCCAATGTAGGAATAAGAAGAGGTGGTTTCTGAGCTAATGTAGGAATGGGGAGAGGTGGTTTTCTGTCATTGTTGGGAGATTATTCAGAAACCATTAAGTGTCTACTGCATGCAAGGCTCTAGGAATCTAGGGGTAAAGTCAGTTGTGACTTAGGGGCAAAAAACTTGTGACGTTCTGTATCCATCAGTGCAAGGTTGTGCCAAGACCTCAGGCTCTGGAACCAGACTACTCAAGGTCAAGTTATAGCTCTTTAGTTCCCTGGTGCTGTGCCCTTAACTTAATGAAAGCAGCTCAACCTGTCTGTGTCCAGTTTCCTCACCTATAAAATTAGGGTAATAAGGTTTGCCTCATAGTATCAAATGAGTTAACACTGAAAGCACTTAACAGCAGCTATGGGGTGACAACTAAAGTCTTCAGAGAAAGCTGTGTAGAGATAACAGTGGCCAGAACAACCTGTGCAAAGGTCCTGAGGCTGAAGCATTCAAGGAATTAAAAGCAACTCCCTTTAGAGGCTGGAAATTCAAGGGATAAGAATGAGTCTAGAGAAGCTGGCCCTGTAGTCTTTTAGGACAGGATTGGCAATTTGGTCTTTATCCAGATGGCAATGGGAAGCCCTCGAGGACCTAAGGCACAGGAGTGATGAACTGTGCATTTAAAAGACCCATGTGGCTGGCTGGTACCTGGGAACAAAGGCCAGGAAGGGAAGTAGATTACTGAAGTTGCCTAGATGGGGGGACGATGGTTGATCACTGTGGCTTTGGATGAGTACATTTGCTTCTCTCACTCTCCTTGACAGACAGCAATGAAGGATTATAGAAGGAACTTGACTGAATATAGTACATGGAAAAGTTAAGGTAGCCTCCCAAGTTTGAGCATTTGGTGGTACCATTGACTGCAGCAGGAAAGGCTGGCAGTGTTTTTATTATTATTATTATTTGCCAAGCGGCAAAGGAGACTGAACAGCTGAGTTCAGTCTCAGAGCAGCTGAGTCCATCTTTCACACCTATGCAGGAAATATTTGAAGCCAGAGCTACTAAAGGAATAGGAGTCTGCAGGCAGGTGGCTGAGTGCCCCAAATCAGGAAAACTCAAGGCACCTAAAACCTGCTTTGGGAAAATTATGATCAGTGTCTTCCAAACGTTGCTACACACTCGGATTTTTTAAAGTATTGATGCTTGGCTTCCAATCCCAGACACTGATTTTGTATGAGATGTGACCAGGGCATCAGGGTGGCTTTTTAAAGCTGCTCAGGTAATTCTAATGTGTAGCATAACTTGAGCCATTGTAGTAAAAACTCTTACCCTAGCTGCATGCCAGACATTGTGCCAAATAGATTATACCCTACCTTTAATCTCCATGACAGCTTCTCTGAAGGTTTCTCATCTATAAGGGGAGACAGAAGTAACTGCTTCACAAGGTTAAATAACTTGCCAAAATGACACAACTAACGTAGGTTCTATGTGAAACTTGAGCCACTTGACTCTAGATGAAGGGCTATAACCATCACACTATATTGCCTTCCCATTTGAGGATAAAGCAAGGAGAGATGAGAGGTGGTAAAAGCTCATCAAAGATGAAGACCGCCATCTTGGAAACTCCTTCAAGCTTCCCACGTGTCTCCAGGGAGCAGAACTAAGAGTGACCATGGGTGGGAGGTCTCTGCCATCAGAGCTGGTACAACGTCTAAGTTTCTCCTTATTCAATTTCTTTTTTTTATAGTTAACAATAATTTATTTTATATTTCCAAATAACTAGAAGAAGATAATTGTAATGTTCCCAGAACAAAAGATAAACGTTTCAGGTAGTGGATATACCAATAACCTTGATTTGATCATTACATGTTACATAGTATCAAAATATCACAAATGCTTCCAAATATGTACAACTATAATAATTTTAAAATCTTTTTTAAAAGACTAAGAAAATTTAAAAACAAAATTGGAGTCAGTCATCTCAAACCTTGCCACTGCTTTATCAACTAACTTTATGTAATAATCTAAATTCTTTGTTGTCATTTCAATAATGTTTATAGCATCTTCACCAGAAGCAGATTCTTTCAATAATGTTTATAGCATCTTCACCAGAAGCAGATTCCATCTTAAGAAAGCAATTTCTGTGCTTGTCCGTAACAAGCAATTTATCATTTGTGAAAGTTTTATCATGAGATGTAGCAATTCAGTCACATCTTCAGGCTCCACTTCTAATTCTAGTTCTCCTGCTATTTTTACCGCATCTGCAGTTTCTTCCTCCACTAAAATCTTGAACCTCTTGAAGTCATCCATTTGGGATGGAATCATCTTCTTCCAAACTCTGACAATGTTGATATTTTGACCTCCTCTCGTGAATCATGAATAGTCTTAATGGCATCTAGAATATGAATCCTTTCCAGAAGATTTTCAATTTACTTTGCCCAGATCCATTAAAATACAAGCATGTTTTGTTTTATTGTGTTCTCCAATTATTTCTTAAACACCTTTTTTTCCAGTTCCACAAATACTTCTTTTTATTATTTTTTCCTTATTCAATTTCATATGGGCTACCCAGGTTGGAGTAAAAAGCATTTGGTTGGTGGTATCCAGGGAGAGATGCTGGACTCAGCTACTGCTTATTGGGAACATTGTCAATGTCAAGCCCCTGGTATTGATTTTTCTATCAATGACCCCTCAATGCTTAACACCTTAATTCTATGTAAAAGGTCTAGTCTATTACCTCCCTAGTATGAAACCAGAGGCCAAGGACTCCCTATCCATCTTGGTCACCATGCTCTTGTTAGGCTAACCTTTAAAGTGTGTCTACATTATAGCCCTTCCCTACTCCAGAATCTACCACACTATATGGTTTGATTCTTCTAATTAGGTCTTTACAGTATTATATGAATAAGCCACAACTTGTCTCTTCTACTTTGGGAATTTGATTTCTGTTTGGGGGCTATCATGAGCAATGTTGCTATGGGTGTCCTTGGACTTGTCTCCTGGGGCTTGGGGCGGAACTACTGTGCCACACAGCACAGAGGTTTTTACATTGATTTTTCTCAAATGATATCAACCTGATTTCCAAAGCAGGCTAGACACTCCAGCAGTACATGAGAATGTCTGCTGACAAACACCTCTCATAACTGTTGTCTACCTAAAAGAAATTCCCACATTCAGTCACACACCTGTACCCCCCTTTTTCTGTTCATTTGATCCTCAAACTGTGTCTCTGAGGGGGAGGTTATAGGACCCCCCATTTAATGGATAAACAAGCTGAGGCTCACCCAAGTCACACTGGGAGGGGGCAGATTCAGATCTTACTTTCCACCTTGTTCTCAGTAAGTTGTTACCTTCAATGTTCAGTTCCTCAACTGAATCCCCTAGAGTGTATAGCACAAGGACATATCCCGTAGGTGAAGAATAACTCTTCCTATAGGAGTTGACTCAATTCTCAAAGTACGGTGGTATGGCTCTGTGGCTTCTGTAACTGTAGACCATTATAAGGCTGGCCTCATGCTTAGGGATCTAGGGAGGCAATGCAGGGGCTGGAAATAACAGCTTGTACTTTAAAATTAGACTGCATGAGTCAAGTGCCAACTCCATTAATAGCTAGTCTTTTAATCTTGGGTAAGTTGCTCAACCTTGCTGGGCCTCAGTTTCTTCCTTCTGAAAATGGGAATAATAGCACCTTACTGTTGGAGTCGTGGTGAAGATCAGATCATGGCACATGGTAAGCAGTCAAAAGTCAGATGCTTTTATGAGGACATTTGGAATATGTAGCATCCCACCACGTTGCCCCCCACACCACCACCACGTTGCCCACCCCCCACGACCACCACCATGTTGCCCCCCACACCACCACCACCACCACGTTGCCCCCACCACCACAACCCCCACCACGTTGCCCATCCCCCACCCCCACCACGTTGCCCATCCCCCACCACCACCACATTGCACGCCCCCCACCCACCACCACCAAGATATCTCCCCACCAAAAAGATGTTTGGAAAACCTAGTCCCAGGAGTTAAGGTATAAATGTTGAGGTAGTTTTATTCTAACTCGGATCCACAGCCACATTTTGAAAGGAGTGTATGTGTTGTGGGGGGTTGCTGAGGTTTGCTGGAAGGAATACATGATTAGAGTGAGGAATATCCTTGTGGCAGCCACCCTCACATCCACATTTCCTGCCTGCCAGTCCATCAAGCAGGAATAAAATTCCAAATGGACAATATTCCAAACAAATGATAAAATAAAGCCAATTAAAGGGATGGATAAAACTAGAAAAGGTTAAAATAACAGAATTAGTGTAAAACAACTCCCTCGACTAGGTTGAGACCCCTAGATATGTGTTCTTGGAAAACCCCGTACTCCCTTGCTAGAGCTGCTTACAGTGGTAATTGACATGTACTTTACAACCTTCCCAAGGCAAATGGGAAAGGCAAAACATATGAATGGTGTCTGCCTTCTGCAGGGTTGTATCCCCAGCACCTAGCATAGAGCCTAGCACATGGTATATGCTCACTAAGTGTTTTTCCTTTGCCCACCTTCAATTTTATTCAATGAGGCCTCTGAAACTAAAAATCACAAAAGAATAAGATAAAACTTATGTAAGGCACAACCTAAGATGGTAAATGGCATAATGGTAAGATGGTAAATGGTATGAAATGAAGAGAAAACAAATGGAACAATTATAAAGTCAAGCTGGAAAACTAAAATCAGCTAAGATGAAATATATCAATCTCAGTCTTACTTTTTTGTGTTTTTAAGTTCATACGACCCTCTAGGTCATATATAAGAAGTCTGGACATCTCTGAGCTAAGGTAACCAGACGCCAAAAGAGGAAACTTTTGCTCATCTGTCCTCCCAAGTTATGCCCTTTGGCGGCTTCTTGCTGAGAACTTCATTCTCCTATCTTCCCACTGAACAAGACCTTACACCATCCCTACCTCATGAGTGGGCCTAGGTGACAAGACCTCAGGCTTCTCTTGACACATTCTTCTCCATCAGAAAAGCAGATGAGTCTGTGCCCATCATTCCCAAGCACAAGTACCTTGTTGAAGCATCCCTTTGAGAAAAATATCTTCTCTTCCTGGCTTCGGTAGCAATAGCCTGCTACAATTACTCACTTATTCCAAAGAAGTTTTCCAATTGAAACCATTTGTACAAGCCTCAAACTATCCCTACGCTTTATTGGGGGATTTAGCAGGTATCTAGATTGGTCAGGGCAGAAGGGAAAAGGAAGGTAAACACCAAAATGTGGTTCCATAGCACCTGCAGTTGAGCATCCAGAATTGTTTAAGCCCCAGAAGACCCCACTAGAGAAAGACCTCTGTGTTGGTCCAGCCAACCATGGTCTGTATGCATAGGAAGGGAGGTAATGCAGCAGTCAAGAATGTAGGCTGTGGGGTCAGATGGCCATCACTTAAATCTGCTTCCACCACTCATCAGCACTTGATCTTGGACATACTTCACATCCCTGAGCCTTACCTTTTTTTCTCCTGTAAAATGGTGATAATAGTACCTATTTCACTGACCTGATGGGGTTTAGTAGATTCCCATATGTTAAAGGGTTTTTACTCCATGTTCCAGGTACTGTTTTTCTCACTTCAGCTTTCAAGTCACCCAGCCAACAAATGTTGAGCACAGAAGGAATAACAATTATAGCAGCTGAGACTACTCGGACTCTATCAGATGGGAGGATACATTTCTTTTCCAAGGTTATTGTGAGGATCAGGTGAGGTTTGCACATACTCTTGCTTCGTGGACAGACTGAGTCTACAGAGCTGTGTTTAAACTCTGGCCCCTCAACACACTGTATGGCTTTGGGCAATAACTAACCTTACCTACCTGTAAAACGGAGATAACAGAACCTCAAGGTGCTGCTGTGAAGGTTACATGAAGCGAGACATGTGACGTGCTTGGCATGTGGTAATGACTTTGTAAACACAAGCTGCAATTATGTGTGTAGAAAACCTTGGAGACAGAAGATGCAGTAATGAAGACTTTCATGAAAATGAGTCAGGTGTTAAAATAACTTAATGTATGTTTGGTTCTCTTGGTAATTCTACTCCACCCCCACCCCATTCTATCATTGTCTGTCTTTCTAGTTCTCTCAGTTGAAAAGACTCCACTTGAGAAGGCCCCAGCCCACCTGTTTCAAAATACAGGGAAAAATGCCAAATAGCCTCCCCAGCTGGGCCCTAACTGCCTCTGATAAAAAGGATGAAGAGAGGTGAATTCTGAAAATTAAACAAATCCTGGTGTCTTTGAAAGGTCACCCAGCTCTGACGTTGGCCGTCCCGTAGGTGACAGACCGCAGGGCCAGCCGGCAGGAAGAAGGGAGACTCAGGAGCAATTAAAACCAAAGTCTAGGGTGGCCAGAGAGGAAGGCCCCAGGATGCCACTCCCAGCAGGTAAGCAGCCTGCAACGAGATGATGGAGACTTGTTCTGCAGAGCTAGCTGTTCACAAGTGCCTTGTGAACACCTACTTTGTATAAGCAGCAAGAATCAAATTCTGTCCCTCCATGGAAGAACCCACTTTCTAGTGGAATGTTAGCACTTCCCTCCATCCCAGCAGCAGACAAGGATTCTATCTCCAGAGGTAGACTTCTGATCTCTCAGCAGCAACACAGATGAAGAGGATGGTTCCAGGGCTTTGACTTCACTGGGATGCTGCTTTTCATGGGAACCTGCAGGAGAAATACCATCATCACTTCTAGGTGTGTACATTTCCCACCTCCCCCAAGACTGGACAAAGCAGTTGGGGCTGGGGGTATGTTTTCCAGCAGCCTGGCTCCTGTGTATGGCTGAGTAGAGGGTCTAGACCCTGCTGTGCCAAGGAAACAAGAGGGAGGACAGGGCCACCCCAAGAGACCTGTGAGGAGGAAGCCAAACTCTTGGCTACAGTGCCTTTAAAACTTCCTGTGACTGTGACTGCAACCACCAAGCAGCAGACATGCCTTATTTCAGCCCTAGGTTAATATCAGTTACTTCTATTGTCCCCATTTGATGTATGGCAAAACAGGTGTTGGATCCTGGCTCTGCTACTTCTGAGCTATGTAACTTATAGCTCAGGAACTTGCCCCAAGTCCATTCTATGCAATGGTTAAGGTTCTCCATTTCCACAGCACATCCACAAGATCTGAGAGAAGAAAGCAAAATATTCTCCTTCAATGGGTTAGAGACTGGTAGAAACTTTACCAACAAGTGACAGCTTATCCTACCTTAATCAGAAGTGTCAGTGCCTCTTTTGTAGGAAGGATGCATGAGCCTTTCCTAGGCAGGATCCGGCCCAGAAGATAAATCCTCCTGAAAGCCCTTAGAAAATGGAAATGGAAATAGCCAAACTGGAGTTGACTTCCTTGCCTTTTCCCATACATTCAGAAATCTATACATGTATATGAGTTGCCTTAATCGAATGGGATACCCCCAAGTTCTATATCTTTTAGTGGCTCCTGGTTCAGTGATAGTAATCTGTACATGGCCAAGATGCAAGATATGACTTTACTATCAGGAAATATTCAGTCTAGCAGGAGACACAATATTATACAAGTGGGTTCATACTCCCTTGTGGCATCACCGCCTTATTTTTGTATTTAATAGAAAAGACAAATGATACTCTATCACCTGCCAGTTCTATTACAGTAGATTTGCAGGGACAAGGAGAATAGAACATCATTTGGTAGGAAAGGCTTGAGTCAGCCCTGGGTTCAAATCCCAGCTTGGCTATTGTGACCTTGCATGAGTTGCTCAGTAACCCAAAACTTCTGTAAAAGGAGCCTGATGGCCACCTCAAAGGGTTGTTGTTAAATTTTCAGATGACATACTTAGCAAGTTGACTATAAATAGCAGATGCTACATTATCCACCATGTGATGCAGTGGTGAAGAACATTGCTGTGAAAACCAAATGTAGAGGATACCAACCTGGTCTGGCACTTACTAGCTAGGGAGAAGAGAGGTTAAGGGACCCTCCCAAGGTCAGTTTGCTCAACTAGAAAGTGGGATAACAGTACCTAACTCATTGGACTGCTGTGAAGGTTAAATTAAACACTTGAAGTCCATAGAATAGTGCCTGGGACATAGTGTTGGGAGACTATTCTCTATAGGCGACTTACATTCCTGCATGTCTTCTGAGCAGAAGCACTGACATTTTGTTCTGGACTACCTCTTCAAGAATGTTTATATAATCAACTGCCTTGGTAAATACTGTCACCACCCCCCTCCACAGCCTCAGAGCAGAGGGAAGATTCATTTGTTGTCCTGTGTAATAAAGACAATGTTGCTTCTCAGGCAGGTCAGACAGGACTACTTGCAGTTCTTTGTCTGGTTCCCTAGGCTCAAGGTAGCTCAGCTGTGGTGTGAACCTGCCACATATGTAGCATTCACCTGGATTGCTCTGTGCCCAGGTGAATGGGAAAACTTGGACAGCAAGGGGGAACCCTCAAACTATCAATGTTTATTCTGCTTGCTGTGCTTTGAGTAAAAAACAAAAATCCTTTGTCTCTGACCCAGGAGTCTCATGTCATCTTGACAGTGTGTTCAAGGTATAGTGGCTATTTTTAAACTATAACTATCATTTGCTTGCTATTGCAAATAGGGCCAACATCAGATAATTTTCACCCATGGAAATGGACATGTGAGGCTTAACTCATCTGTCCCTTGTGGAGCTCTTCTCTAGGACCTAAAGGATGCTTTGAATCTAGATATTCACTCATTCTGTCATCTGATCAGAATAAAACTTTTGCCTATAAATCAGAAGTTCAGGGATCACATAAAGGTAGTGACAAGTCTGTCCCTTTAGCTACTTCAGTCAATTGGTGAAGAAAGGAATACCTCAATTGAGTCAGATTTTCATCTGGGATAATATTACAAGAGACTTGTGAAGTCATGTCCTGGTTCCAAACCCCAGCTCCACTACCAGCTTAGCTGTGTCATCTTAAGTCATTTGCCTCCCTCTCAATTTCCTCATGTGTAAAATGAGGATAATACTTTTATTATTTAATACTTGAATAATCATAATATGTCATTTCAAAATATCAATTTCTACCAAAACTTCAAAGCATACCTATACCTCAATTGAACAGCATTGCTCACTCACCTTCTAGACTTTCCCTTTACTAGGCTTAATATTCATTGCTGAGTGTATCACTATCTGCAATTATATGTTAATGGTTTCCAAAAATGGCCACCGGCACTTCCTCTCCTCCCTGTATACACTTGCCACTCTTCATAGCAAGAGGCGTTATTAATATTTTCTCCTACTCCTGAGTCTGGACTGGCCCTGGGATTTGCTTTAGCCAATAGATTGTAGTGGAGGTGATGTCTTGAGACTTCAGCCCTTAAGGTTTGCAGCTGCATCTTTCCCTTCTTGCAGCCCAGATGCCATGCTGTAAGGAAGTCCAAGCTGAACCGCTCAATGATGAGAGGCCACATACAGAGAGACCCTGGGGGGTGAGAGGCCATCGTAGTGTTCCATCTGAATCACCAGCTAAATGTAAGCATGCATTAACTCCAGGTGACATAGGGTAGAAGAACCACACAGCTGAGCCCTGCCCAAATACGCAACCTGCAATATGAGAAATGAGCAATCATTGTTGTCTCAAGTTACCAAGTTTTGGGGTACTTTGTTATGCAGTAATTTTATTTTTCCCCTCACTAGGATGTAAGTTCAAAAATGCAAGGACTGTCTTTTCACCGTATCCTTGAGCCCAGCATGGTGCCTGCCACTTGGTAGTTGTTTAAATATTAGATGGTTGAAGCCACTTATTCACTCAAGCAGGCGTGGTGTTTTGTTCACCATTGTACCTCCAGTTTCTAGGCAACAAAACTACTGCCCCTTTGTTGATTAGAGGCTACTTATGTATGTTTTTAATCTGGAATTGCCTATCTCTGTAATAAGTGGAGATGAACAATAATATAAAACAAGACCTGGGAACATCCTGACACTTAACCAGGCAGCCAACTACTTATGTGCTTGCTTTCAAAGGGGCATGCTTCTCAAATTTTGGTCCTAATTCTTCCAGTAGCTCGAATGAAGCCCCATTCTTCCCCTACCCTGTAACATAAAGTAATCATCTAGCAGATGAACTCTGCACTTTCATTCCCTTAACACTGGTCTCCACTAGAGAGAGAGGTGTCTCTCCCTTCTCCCACCCAGAACCTCACTGGTTTGGCTCTGGGTCTTAAGAATAGAAAGATCTGAAGAAGTGGTCTCTGTTCTCCCTGACCCAGCTCTCACCCACCTCCCAGCCAAAGAGTACTTTGGAGAAAGAAGTGAGCAACGGAAAGATGCCCAGCCTCCTGTAGCAGTGCTGCCTCTTATCAGTCCCCCAGCACCAGAGCCCTGCTGCAGCCCTCCCCTCCCCGAAGGCTGGGCCTGACAAGTTTGTACATTAGCACTTTTCAAAAGCAGTGTCCACTTTGGGAAGGGTGGCAGGGCCCAAGAGCAGCCACTTCCTTTGACAAATGCCAGTGCTGACAGCTGAACGCTGTCTTACAAACCCTGGCCCCTGCTGCTCCCCAGGAGGTACTGGGTAGAGCAGGAAGAAGCTCAGATGTAAGTCATTCACCAAGGACAGTGAGCCCCAAGATGACATCTGCTTGATAGAAATCTACAAACACAGGAGAGAGGCAGTGAGCTCCAGGGCTGTTACCCCTGGGATCATGTTCTGCAGGTTCCTAGCTGTGTCTCTCGGGCAACTTAGTCCATGTTTCCAAACCCTATTTTCCTCATCTGTGAAAGAGAGGCAATTACTATGCCATATAGTTGCCTATTGCTGCTTAATGGATTGCCACAAACTCAGTTGAAAACAGCACATTTATTTTCTCAGTTTCTGTAAGTCAGGTCAGCATATCACTAGACTGAATCCTCTTGAACCAGGGTCTCATGAGGCTGCAATCAAGGTGTCTGCCAGAAGTTCCCTGGAAGGACCCACTTCCAAGCCCCTGTGATCACTGGCAAGTGTTGGTTTTTTGCAGGTTGTAGGATTGAGGACCTCAGCTTCTTGCTGTTGGCTGAAGGCTGCCCTTAGTTCTTTGCCATGTGGGCCACCTCAACATGGCAACTTGCTTCATCAAAGACAGCAAGGAGAGGGGTTTGCTAGCAAGACAGTTGTTAGAACCATAGAAGTGACATCCTATCCCTTTTGCCACTCCCAGCTAGGAGCAAGTCACAGGTTCTACTCATACTCAAGGAGGAGAAAGAAGGTTGACAAGGGCCCCAAACACCAGGAAACAGGGACCACTGGGGAGAATCTTAGAGCCTGAGATGCATCAGCTCCTTCATCCCCACCTATGAGTCAGCTGTATGAAGTCTTTAATGCATGGCCTGGGTTTTCTGTTTAATTCCTAGCATTCAGCGTCCCAGCAGAAAGCAGATGGAATATTCAAATAAAATCCCTTCATTAAACTCATCTCAAAGGTGTGGAAAGGGAGTAAGCAGGGACACTAAAAGGAAGCAGAGAATTGTCCTGGGGCTGGCAAACTGCATCCCTACTTATGAAGGGGAAAGGGGTGGGGTGCAGTTCCCTGAACATAGAGGAAAGAGCCATATGGAAAGGGCTGCCTGACAGTGGAGGAGCAGCTACTGGCCAACCAGTGGCCCAGCCAGCAAGAGAAGGCTGGGCTGAGGCTAAATACCCTGACCTCTCTCTCCTACCTCTGACTTCCTGCTGGGCCTTCCAGTAGCAGGGCTCCCCTGGAAGTCATAAAAGGAGGGGAAGCCATTGCATCAGTCCCTACCTCAGTCCCAGCTTCTCCAAAGAAGTAAAAGGCAGCTCTGGGGACTAACAGCAGATCTTGCAGTCATTCATATCAAGCAGTTTTCAAGGCAACTAGTAAACAAAAGTAGAATATGTTTCATGATTCCAGAGATTGGAATCCCTACTTGATTTTAAACCCTGGGGATCTGTAGACCAATATAAAGCAGTTTATGATCTGGAGCAAGAGTCAGCAACTATAGCTCATGGGCCAGATCTGGCCTGCCACCTGTTTCTATAAAGCTGGGTTTTTGGGGTTTTGTTTTTTGTTGTTGTTGTTTTGACACAGGGTCTCACTTTATCACCCAGGCTGGAGTGCAAGGGCGTGATCTTGGCTCACTGCAGCCTTGACCTCCTGGGCTCAAGCGATCCTCCCACCTCAGCCCCTGAAAGTAGCTGGAAAAACAGGTACGTGCCACCATGACCAGCTAATTTTTTTGTGGAAGCGGGGTTTCACCATGTTGCCCAGTCTGGTCTGGAACTCCTGAGCTCAAGTGATCAGCCTGCCTCAGCCTCCCAAAGTGCTGGGATTACAGGCATGAGCCACTGCACCCGGCTTCTATAAAGTTTTATTAGAACCCAGCCATGCTTGTCTATTTGTATATTGTCTGTGGCTGCTTTCATAATAAAATAGCAGAAATGAGTCCTCATAATAAGGATTATATGGCTCCCAAAGCCTAAAATATTTAACATCTAACCCTTTACAGAAAAATTACCAATCTCTGGTCTGGTAGAAAAGCATTTTGATTAGAAAAATAAGCCTTTTAGAGGAAAGAAGTAGGAAGAAATTAAATATTCCCATCTTTAAAGACAAGCGTGTGATTGGCAATTAATGTACAGTGTCTTGATCAGAGCACAGGATAAAAGTCCCCAACTGACACTGCCTCTGAGGTACATTTCAGAGGTTCTATTTAAAAAGGTAAATATGAAACAGTCACAAGGCATAACAAGGTTAACCCAAACACCTATTTTGTAATGCACTTATACAATCCTGGGTGCTCAGGGCCAAGAATGCCTTCTAGACTTGCACTGAATATCTTTACTAAAACCACTGTATTAGTCTGTTCTCACACTGCTATAAAGAACTACCTGAGACTGGGTAATTTATGAAGAAAAGTGGTTTAATTGACTCACAGTTCTGCAGGTTTAATAGGCATGATTGGGAGGCCTCAGGAAACTTAGTCATGGCGGAAGGTGAAGCAAGCATGTCTTACTATGGTGTAAAGCAGGAGAAAGAATGTGTGAATTGAGAAGTGCCACACACTTTAAACCATCACATCTCATGAGAACTCACTATCATGAGAATAGCAAGAAGGAAATTCACCCCTATGATCCAGTCACCTCTCACCAGGCCCCTCCTCCAATTTGGGAGAGTTGGGTGGAGACACCAAACCATATCAGCCACCAAATTTCTATTATAAATCTTACTGTAACAGAATCCCCTTCTTGCCTTAGCAAACTCTTTCTTATCAATAGTTGAAATTAAGAAGAAAATAGTCCAGTTTATTCACTCAAATGACCAAGCATCTTTTTATTATAGGTCCCAAGGCAGGTGCTAGGGATATTTCAAAGTTTTAATCTTTCATTCCCCTGTCTGGATCTTAATCTCAGAGATGGTCCCCTCCACCACCTATGTGAGCCCTTAAATCCCATTCCTTTTGTTTCCAGCCCAAGCCCTCTTTTCAACACACCACCGAGGAAAAGGGGGTTGAGGGTAGGTGGAACAGAATGTTCCACAGCTGATATGGTTTGTATCTGTGACCCTCCCAAATCTCATGTTCAATTGTAATCCTGTGTTGGAGGTGGGGCCTGATGGGAGGTGATTGAATTACGGGGGTGGATTTCCCCTTGGTGCTGTTCTTGTGATGGTGAGTTCTTGATCTGGTTGTTTAAAAGTATGTAGCACCCTCCCTTGCTCCTGCTCCTGCCATGTAAGATGCCTGCTACCCCCTTTGCCTTCTGCCATGATTGGAAGCTTCCTGAGGCCTCTACAGAAGCCGAAGCTATTACGTTTCCTGTACAGCCTGTAGAACTGTGAGCCAATTAAACCCTTTCCTTATCGATTACCCAGTATCAGATATTTCTCTTTTTTTTTTTTTTTTTTTTTTTTTTTTGAGCAACAAAGCTGTTTATTTCACCTGGGTGCAGGTGGGCTGAGTCTGAAAAGAGAGTCAGCAAAGGGAGATAGAGGTGGGGCCGTTTTATAGGATTTGGGTAGGTAAAGGAAAATTATAGTCAAAGGGGTTTGTTCTCTGGCTGGCAGGAGTGGGGGTCACAAGGTGCTCAGTAGGGGAGCTTTTGAGCCAGGATGAGCCAGGAGAAGGAATTTCACAAGATAATGTCATCAGTTAAGGCAGGAACAGGCCATTTTCACTTCTTTTGTGGTGGAATGTCATCAGTTAAGGCAGGAACCAGCCATTTGGATGTGTACGTGCAGGTCACAGGGGATATGATGGCTTAGCTTGGGCTCAGAGGCCTGACATTCCTGTCTGAAGATCGGCATCCATGATGGTCTAGGGGACTTCCGAGGTGATCGGGCAGCATCAGTCTTCAGCCGCTAAGCCAAGAAGATCTGGTAAGGAGTCAGTCAGAGAGCCTTGGGCCAGAGTTCCAGGGGCTCTGGAAGTGGCTGCTGGGTGAGTTGAACAGTCCAATTTTCAGTGGGGTCCAGATTTGAAATTGGTGAGATGTTCCTTGGGCTGGTCGGTCTGAGGACCTGAGGTTGTAGGTGGATCTTTCTCATGGAGCAAAGAGCAGGAGGACAGGGGATTGATCTCCCAAGGGAGGTCCCCTGATCTGAGTCACGGCACCAAATTTCACTCACGTCCGTGTGAAGAGACCACCAAACAGGCTTTGTGTGAGCAACAAGGCTGTTTATTTCACCTGGGTGCAGGCGGGCTGAGTCTGAAAAGAGAGTCAGCCGTATCAGATATTTCTTTATAGCAATGCAAGAATGACCTAACACAGCAGCAGACCCAGGAAGGACTCTGGGCTTCCTGAATCTATTGAGTGTGCTATATACTCACTAGATGTGAGACCCAGGGCAAGTCACTTCCCCCATAACCCTCCCTCCCTCCCCTCATCTCCCTGAGGCAGTAACATTTCCTGCTTCATCCATGTCAGAAGGCAGTTATGAAGCTGGAAAGATCACGGAAGGCTGGAGACTGTATAATTCCACTCATGAGGCACCTAGAGTAGCCAAGTTCAGAGAAAGAATGGTGGTTTCCAGGGATGAGGGGGGAGGGAGAACGGGGAGTTAGTACTTAATGGGTACAGAATTTCAGTTTTGCAAGATGAAAATGGTTTTGGAGTTGGATGGTGATGGTTGTATAAACATGTGAATGTACTTGATGCCATAAAAGAATACCTTCTAAAGAGAATCGAGGCTGGGCACAGTGGCTTATGCCTATAATCCCAGCACTTTGGGAGGCCAAGGCAGGTGGATCATTTGAAGTCAAGAGTTTGAGACCAGCTTTGGCCAATATGGTGAAACCCTGTCTCTACTAAAAATACAAAAATTAGCCAGGTGTGGTGGCATGTGCCCATAATCCCAGCTACTAGGGAGCCTGAGGAAGGAGAATTACTTAGAACCTGGGAGGTGGAGGTTGCAGTGAGCTGAGATCATGCCACTGCACTCCAGCCTAGGCAACAGAGCAAGACTCGACTTTGTGAGCACTGCTGCAGAAAGAGGACTTTCTCTCTCATGGCTCTTGGGTTTTGCTGCCACCCATAGCAGACTCCCAAACCCAGAGCCTTTTTTTCTTTACAGCTGTTCCACAGCCTCTCCACCCCAGCCCATCAATCACTCTGGCCCTGCTCTCATCCAACTCCCCAGGGCCATCTCAGGTACCACAGTCATCCATCAGCTATGCCAGCACTCTCCCCTTCTTTGCCCACCTCACTCAACCCTCCAGCCCCAGGCTCGTCTCAGAGCCATCTGCTGTTCCTGCCTCTCCTCTGCCCTTCCTAATCATCTTCCACCTGGACAAATGCAGGAGGGGTGAACCAAGGCAGGTACGCTGGCAACAGAGATCACCCTGCTTGGAGAAGATCGCCTTCTTGTCTCTGTTCCCAGAGGCTCTAGGGTTCTAAGACAGCACTTGTCAAACTATAGACATGCACACAAGTCACAGTCATGTTAAAATGCAGAGTCTGACTCAGGAGGTCCAAGTGGGGCCTGAGTTGCTGCATTTGTAACCTACCAGGTGATGCTGATGCTGCCAATCTGGCCACAGCTTGAAAAGCCACATCTGAAACACCACCCAGTTCCCCCTCTGCCTGACCCTGGGGGAGGACTTCTGAGAAGGAACTTAGTCGATATTGGGATCTTGCTTGAATTTGCAGTGACTTCAGTTTAACTTGAATAAAACTCGACTTTGAGGCAAGTACCAATTGATGGAGCATGTCTTCATCCATCTTGGAGAAAGCTATTTAGCAGATGTTGAGAAATTATTTTTACCAAAGGAATTAAGGGGGGAAAGAGACAAATCTTCCTTACAGAAGAAACCCAAATAACATAAGTCAATACAACCCCATCCAGGAGGTGGAGCTTAATATTCCTTTTCTCTCCTCCCCACCTCCCTAAAAATAAGAAAAGGATGAAAATTATAGCTCTACAATGGAGCAATCTGGCAGCTGCCACCTTAGCTGAGTGATCAAGGTCAATACCATTTGGGAGGCAGGAGGCTGGGAGACGAGAAAGATGCTTCACCTCAGGTCTTCTTCTTGGGAAGCATCACCCCAGAATCCTCATGTGAAAAGCATCAGACCAACAGCAGGTGGACATCCTACAGAACACCTGACCAGTACTCCTCAGAAGTTAAGTTCATGAAACAGGGAGAGATGGAAGCTTTGACCTGAGAAGACTGGAAGAAACTAAGATATTAATACATGAGAACCAAACACAATGTAGAATCCCAAAGAAGATCTCACAACAGAGAAAGGCACTGCAGTAAAGTTGTGAAATCTGAATAAAGTCCAGGATTCACAGTAAAGTCCTGAGGTTGGTTTCTTAGTTTTGATGAATGTCCTGTGGTCTTGGAAGATGTTCGATTGAAAGTGTGAGGAGTATGGAAACTCTTGTCTTTGGGATGCTTTTGTAAATCTAAAATTTTCTGAAAACTTTTTGAATAATTAGCCTTACATAGGTTAGGGTATAACTGGGAAGCTGTACTGTACCAACGGGGATCTTATGAGAGTATCTAAAATGACCGGAAGGAATTATTGTATTACTGCATTGTTTTATATTTTACTATCTCCTGCCAACTCTTCTCCAAAATAATTCTGTGCTAATCCATGGCATCTGGTGGGAAGATGCAGTGGGACTGGGCTGCCATAGGTACAGTCAGTGAGTATGTGCTTTCTGTGAAGGATCTTAATAAAAACGAATTAAACATTGGTCTTTTTATTGCTATCTGCTGACAATTCTAAAGTCATAACTTTTAACCTGGAAACTCGTAGGCATTGACAATTGAAATTAACATCACTGTCTGTCCCTGATATATCTTGAAACAAGCAGCTCAAATGTTTTTTCCTTGGCTTAGGTATTTACCTGCCCCTAAAAGATGAAGCTAGATGACTAATCAAGACTAACAACTTGTTCATCAAGATTTCCCTCAACTCCCCTCCTTACTGGGCCAGAGCCATGTCAGAAGGCTTGCCCAATCCTAGTCAAGGCCCACCCTAAAAATTAGCCCAAGCCTTAGACCTCACAAATACCCTGCCCTATTCCCCATTGTGAGATACCTCAAACTATCAGGGGTTCTCCTTTACTGCAATGAGTCTGAACTTTAATGTAGGGTTTTTCTCCAGTAGTTTCTTTGGGAAGTTGACAGATGCATCACATAAAAACCTACACATGCACAAAACAAGCACAAAGATGTTTATGTGCAGGATGACTAATAGGGAGAGTTGGCAGCCACCTACGTGTCCATCAAGGAGTGATTAAATAAACACTGAATGGTATCCTACAAGAGGAGCATGCTAACTAAGCCAGATACACTGAAGCTGGAAATGTTCACCCTATTCTGAGATGCACTACATTAAAAATACCTGTAATTCTAAATATTTTGAAAATGATCCTCTTTCAAAAATCATGCCTCTGAGGCTGTCTAGGTGTATATATTTGAAATATAAAAATGCATTGAAAAAAACTGGAGAACTGGTGACAGTCTTTGGGGAAGAGTCAAGAGATACTTTGGCTTTATTTCTTTGCCCTTTATACATTTCAATTATGTAATTATTTGCATAATGAAAATGCTCTTACTGAATTTTTAAACAAATTGTCTATTTCTCTCCTGGTCCAGCATCTAGGGTACTTCTACTGTTATGATTCTGAGCGTGGGTGATGGCTCATCTGGGCACCTACTCTCTGCAAGGCTGTGAACCTGATCCTCTGAGTAATCTTCATGACAGTCCTGAGGGGGTGAAGTTGTCCCCACTTGGGGACAGTGAATGATGGAATGATCTGATCCCACATCTTCTGCCAAAGCACACACCATAGAAACAAGTACGAAGTGCATTCTTAATTCTTCATGACAGGTGCTGCTTATTCTATTTTTAAGGTGGGAAATTGCAGGTTATAGAGAATAAGGTTTTGCATGATTGTAGAGCTAGTAAATGGTGGGTGGGTGGTAACTATCTCTTCAGGCTGCTGCTTAGAACCTGTATGCTCCCCATTCTCATCCCCTTGCATCTAAGGTTCCTGTTCCCCAATGGAAAACCCCTTTGGGAAGCTGATTCCCCTGCAGCTGTAGAGGGGAGTTTGAGGTTCCCTTGACTCTTCTGTTGAATGACTGCTGAATGAAGGTGTCTCCCCTAAAGAGAGCATTCCTGACACTGTCATCATCCCTCCAGTTCTCCCAGAAGCAGACCTTGAGACAAGGAGTTGTGTGCCAGGGAATTATCAATGGATTGTCTCCAGGAGGAACTGGGAAGGGAGAGGGGAAGCAGGATAGGAAAGGGTAGAATTCCAGCAAGGGTATGATTTCAGGCAAATCCCAGCCTGAGCCTGATCCTGCAGGGTGCTGTGGGGCACAGTGTAGCCTCTTAATAGGTCTTGATTCCCAGCAAGGGACCTGAGCTTCTATTGTCCCCACCAGTCAGTCACTGCATGGGGGGCTGCCCTAGAACATAAAGTCCCAGACACTTCTGTCTCTGTGGGTGAGGCCAAAGCAACTCCAATGCCCCCTGGGAAGTTTCATTGCTTTCATCTCTTGTGACCATCAATCTATTGCAACGTGTGCTGTAGCCTACCCCACCCCCAGACGGCTGTCCCTCTGGTCATTATTGTCCTAGTCCCAGGACCAGGTGGAGGTCTCCTTATAAATCCTATCTCCCTTTTGTGAAATGAAGTGGTCGTTTGCAGTGTTTTAAAGGGAGAATGAAATATTCCAGTCAGAAGGACTTTCTTCTGACAGCACGTTACATGAAAACTGCCAACTCTTTATACTTAAGACTTCTGTCTACTCAATTCATTGATCCTCCCTCCTCCCCCTCCCACAACACTTAAGCTATGTAGAAGTGAGTTTCTCAAAGAACTATCAGGAAGTGTGAGTTGCTCATTCTTTTGGAAAGCAATCTAGTGAACTCTAAAATTCCAAAATTGCATGGCCTTTGACCCAGCAGAACTCTAGCCTAGCAATAGTAAGTACAATAGTAAGTACTCGACAGGCACACAGTGGTGTTGACTGTAGCCCATCTTATAACATCCAAAGAACTGGGCATGACCTGCACGTCCATCCGTAAGGAAGAGGCTGGGGGTGGTGATCCGTCTGGACTGTGGAACAAGCTTGTCCAACCTGTGGCCTGCAAGCACCCCAGGATGGCTTTTGTGGCCCAACACAAATTTGTAAACTTTCTTAAAATATATTTTCACAATGATTTTTTTTTAGCTCATCAGCTATCGATAGCGTATTTTATTTTATGTGTGGCCCAAGACCATTCTTCCAATATGGCCAAGGGAAGCCAAAAGATTGGACACCCTTGGTGTGGAATACCATGCGACTGTTAAAAAGAGACCCATGAATTCTATGTTGAAAATGTGTCCGGGATGTATTAGCAAAAAACACACACTGCAGAATAACAATACAGTGCAAATTCCCCCCTCTTTTTTTTGAGACAGGGTTTCTCTCACCCAGGCTGTAGTGCAGTGGTGTGATCATAGCTCACTGCAGCCTCAACCTCCCGGGCTCAAGTGATCCACCTCAGCCTCCCAAATTGCTGAGATTATAGATGTGAGCCACCGTGACTGGCCGGCAATCTCACTTTTGCCAAAGTGGGTAAATCCTACATGTATGCATGTTTACATAAGAATGGAGAAAAGTGGGGGAAGTAATACATCAAAAGATGATGACTGGTTAGTCCTGAGTGATTGGACAGTATAGCTCTCTGCATTACTTTTCCTTAAAGATACAGCTTTGTAATATTGAATAAGTTACAAAGGTAAACTTTAAAACTGAAATGTTGGGAGCTGCTGGTTGAAGCAGGAAGGTGGAGCAAGCCTCATTCCTAGCCTCCAGCTTCCCTCTTCCCTCCTGTTCTCCTGGGCAGGCATGTGGATTGCAGGGCCTCACCTCCTTGGTCCTCCTGGGACATCTCACATTGACACAGCCCACGCTGCTCAGCCCACCAGCTCTCAGCAGGCCTGCTGCCCCTGCCCTGACCCCGGTTCTCTGAGAGGTTGAAAGGCCATGGTGAGATAACCCAGCTCCGTGCCCCCACCTGGCAGAAGATCAGTTAAAAGGCATCCAAGCGGAGGACCCCCGTGGCTGCCTATTTAGAGTTCCTTCAGAGCCTCCCATGATAACAGCCACCATGGCTGAGCGCTTACATAGCAGAGCTTACAGCTAAGAGCATGGACTCTGAAATAAGTCACCTGTCATCTCCAGGCCTTAGTTTGCTCTTCTGTGAAATGGGCATAACGGTACCTCTCAGAGTGGTTATAACTAAAAGATCATATGCATGAAAAGACATACTGCATGTTGCATGTTGTCATGTGGGAACTAAAAGTTGATCTTGTAGAGTAGAATAGTGGTTACTGGAGGATGGGAAGGGTCAGGGGTGCAGGTGGAGATAGCCCAAGGTAGGTGAATGGATACGAAGTTACAGCTAGCTAGGAGGAATGAGCTCCAGTGTTTTATAGCATTGTAGGTGACTGTGATAGTAATTTGTTGTATATTTTCAAATAGCCAGAAGGGCAGATTTTGAATGTTCCCAACACAAAGAAATGATCAATGTTTAAGGTGATTTTTATGTCAATTACCCTGATTTGATCATTATACATTGCATAACTATTGTAATATCACTGTACCCTATAAATATGTGCAGTTATGTCAAATAAAAGCAAAAATGCTAAAAAAGATGTATATGGACTCATATTCTCTTATCTATGTTATATACTATTTTCTGTATATATTCTCACACATATGAACAGAGCCAATATTAAGCATGTACTCTTGTCAGTAATTTGTCCTTCGAATACTAGATAAGAGCTCTGGTGCTGAACTCAGACTGGACCTGGTTTTAAATCCTTGCTCTGCAGATAACTAAGTCTCCCAACACAGCCACCATGATTGACAGGGAGGCTGGAAAAGTGTCACTCTATTGCTACCCCTTGCAGAGCTGATGTCAGATGGGAAGTGTCTGTAAAATTTAGGGCCACTTGGATGAATTTCTTCAAGAAAAGACCATATGGGCTAGAACTGTTGAAAGGGATTTCTGTGCTGCAGGAGTTGGTACTTGGTCCTCTGAGAGAATGGATGAGGAGCTGGGCCATTTTGCCGCGTGCCTGTGAGGAGTGCCATTTCTATTGCGTTCTTAGGAGTCTATGTGAATAGCTGCTCTTGGAGTTGGGCATCTCTGGCAGTCCCATTCAGGACTTGCTTTGCTGATAACATTGGGAAGTGTGCTGAAGTCGGGGTTGGGGTGGAAGAGTCAACTTCCAGGCCCAAAGAGAAGTCACTGTCCCTTCTGACCTCCTGTCAAAGGTTTAGCCTAATTTATCTCTTACCGCTTTCTGTATAATAAAAATATTATGTAGTAATAATTTTTAAAGTTAACAGTTCCAGCCGGGGCAACATGGAGAAAACCCATCTTTACCAAGAAAAAAAAATTAGTGGAGCATGGTGGGACTACAGGTGTGTAACTTGTAGTCCCAGCTACTTGAGAGGCTGAGGAGAGAGGATCACTTGAGCTCAGGAGGTGGAGGCTGCAGTGGGCTGTGATCATGCCACTGCACTCCAGCCTGGGCAACAGTGAGACCAGGTCTCAAATCCAATCAACTAAAACTATTGGCTAGGTACGTTACATGTGTGATCTCATTTAATTCTCCCACCACCCCATGAGCTATTGTAAATTTCACTTTTCCAGGAAGGAGCTGGAGTAGAACTAATAAGATGAAAAACCTTTACTTCCTGAGCGCCCACCAGGCACTGTGCTGTGCACTTTTCTTGCAAGATTGTTATGAAAATGAGATAAGGTGGGTAAATGATGGTTCTCCCCAGGGAAAGCTGAGGTGCAGAGAGGCCCAATCACTTGTCCAAGGTCTCAGGGAGAGCAAGTGGCAACGCTGGGATGCAAACCAGAGTTTCTCTTGCTCCAAATCCCTTTCAACGTGGGCAAACAGTTTCTTCTGCTTAAAGAGTGTGGAGGACCCCTTGTGGCAAAATGTTGTCTCACCTGAAAACCATTCAGACAGAAAGCCAACTGATCCCCAGGGGGGAAGGGGAGGGAAGATTGGAAGGAAGCAACTGACTTATTTCATCTCAACATTGGTAAGATAAATTTAAAACAACACAAATGTCCAAAAACAAAAGATTGACTAAATTGATTTATATAATGAATATATATATGTATATATATATTACATATATATAAGAAGCCATTTAAACCAATGTCACAGAACATTGATTTGGAAAGGAAATGTTCAAAGGTTCATTAAAAAGCAGATGGGAAACAATCACGTAAGACATGATCTGTCTTTTTATTTAAAACATCTGCATTTGACCAGGCACAGTGACTCATGCCTATAATTCCAGCACTTTGGGAGGCTGAGGTGGGTGGGTCACTTGAGGTCAGGAGTTCAAGACCAGCCTGGCCAACATAGGGAAACCCCATCTCTACTAAAACACAAAAATTATCCGGGCGTGGTGGTGCGTGCCTGTAATCCCAGCTACTCCAGAGGCTGAGGCAGGAGAATTGCTTGAACCTGGGATGCAGAGGTTGCAGTGAGCCAATATTGCATCACTGCACTCCAGCCTAGTTGACAGAGCAAGACTCCATCTCAAAAAAAAAAAAAAAAAATCTGCATTTTACATCATTCCTGTCATACATTGAAGTAATGTGCTATGGTTTTACCTGAATGGCAAGATCAATAAAGGTAATTTTTGACCTTCTTTATTCTTATTTGTACTGTCCAAGTTTATAAACCTAAATGCCTTATTTTTCCTCTGGAGAAAAACATTGTTCTAGAAAATAATATTTTAAAATAGTTATCAAACTATTGTGGAAGAAAGCCCCTCTTTGGGGGCCTGTTTCCCCACCTGAATGATTCAATTGTGTTCCATCACTAGGTGCACCACTCAAGTTTGAAATGTCCCCCTCCCTCCCCATCCCCCTCCCCCACCTCCCTCCCTCCCCATCCCCCTCCCCTCTCTCCATCTCCCTCTCCCCCCTTCCCCCACTCCCTTTATCTCCCTCTTCCCCCCTCCCATCACTCCATCTCCCTCTTCCCCTCTCCCTCTTCCCCTCTCCCTCCTCCCTCCTCCCTCTCCCTCCTCCCTCTCCTCCCTCCTCCCTCTCTCCCTCCTCCGTCTCTCCCTCCTTTGTCTCTCCCTCTCTCCGTCTCTCTGTCTCTCCCACCTCCCTCTCCCTCTCCCTCCTCCTTCTCCCTCCTCCCTCTCCCTCTCCCTCCTCCCTCTCCCTCTCTCCCGCATCACTCTTTCTCTCCCCCATCACTCCTCTCCCCCATCACTCCTCTCTCCTCTCTCCTCTCTCTCCTCCTCCCTCCCCCTCTCCTCCTCCCTCCCCCTCTCCTCCTCCCTCCCCCTCTCCTCCTCCCTCCCCCTCTCCTCCTCCCTCCCCCTCTCCTCCTCCCTCCCCCTCTCCTTCCCCTCTCCTCCTCCCTCCCCCTATCCTCCTCCCTCCTCCTCTCCTCCTCCCTCCCCCTATCCACTGCCCCACCCCCTCTCTCTCTGTCTCCCTCTCACTCTCTCTCTCTCCCTCTCCCTCTCTCTCTCTCCTTCTCACTCTCCCTCTCTCCCTCTCACTCTCCCTCTCTCGGCGTCCCTCTCTCACTCCACACACAAACATGACACTTAGCTTCAGATTCTTCAGCTGTGAAATAGAGATGACACTCCCTGCTTCATAGGTGTGTTATGAAGATCCAGTAAGTGGACACCTGTAAAGCACCTAGAACGCAGGACTCTGACAAGCACCTACCTAACGTGCCTCCAATAATGCTGGTGAGTTAGGTCAGAGCCAGGGCGCAAACCCAGATCTTTTGTCCCCGAGTCCACCACTCTTCCCACTGAATTCCATTTCTTCTTTATGACATCGCTCCCGATGGAAGATTGTCAGGCACAGGGGCAGGCTTCGAGTGGGCAGAAAGGGCTTCCCAGAGGTCTCTGAAGCCCCCTCGAGTACGTGACCACAGTCCCCCACACCCCGGGCTTCAACACATGCAAGCTTCCGGGTCTTCATCTCCGCGGTCCTTTCGTGGCAGCTGCAGGTTTCTGCTTCCCTGATTCCAGGGCCATTTTTCTGCCTGAGCAGCTCCAATATCTAAATTTGCACTCCTGGCTGCAGGAGAGAAGAGCAGGCGTGGAAAGCTTTTACTTCTGAGAATAACTCGGGAGTCATGGTAAGGGCAAGAGGAAAAGGAGGAGGTGTCTAGCGGGAGATGGTGCCAGCTCCCCGCTGTGTTTGCCCAAGGCTGGGAAGAGTCTCATCCATGGGGAAGAGGGCAGGGAGCCCCAGACAGTTCTCCTCAGAGCCAGGCTGGAAGCTTAAGCCTGAATCTCTACCCACTACGAGTTTGCTACCTAAATATTGGGACGGCACCAAAGGCATCAGTGTGTAAGGCTGAATTTAAATGATGCAAGATTCACAAATCACGGAGATGCAGAATCAAACACACGACCTCTAGGAGGGACTTCAGACAGTTCTAAACCAGCGCAGTGGCTTAGTGTGGCTAGTCCTCCCATAGAGACGTGGAATCTAATTTTCCTTCCGCGAACCTGGACTGGCCTTAGTGACTACTCTGACCATTAGAATGTGGAAGAAGTGACGTACTGGGACAGCCGACGGTTGGTCGTCAGAGCCCTTGAATCTCCTCATTCGGAGCTCCTGAAAACTTTCTACAAGTCAGTGCCTTGTAAGAAATCCTACAACCCTGATGCCACCATGCTGTGAGAAAGCCCAGGCTACCTGAGGGAAGAGGGCCTGGAAAATAAGGCACCAAATGGAGCGTGAAGGACAAGGAGCACCGAGGTTCCAGATATGTGAGTGAAGACGCCATCTTGGAAGTGGATCCTGTTGCCCTAGTGGACCCCAAGTGAATCAAACAGAAATTACCCACTGAGCCCTTCCTGAATTCCTGTCCCACAAAACCATGCGCAAAATAAAATGGCTGTTTTAAGCCACCAAATGTTGAGACAGCTCGTTACCCATCAATAGATAAGAGAAATTGCCATTTTTGTACCACTTTCATAATTTTGCTATATGAATGTATTATTAAAAGTTTCTTCCTTTAAATTGACTTATATTTTTGCCATATTTTGAAACAAATTTTATCTACATATAAATACCATGTCTTATGAGCTAATTTGAGACCCCTCAAAATTCATATTTTGAAGTTCTAATCCCCAGTATTTCAGAATATGACTATATTTGGAGGAAGGGTCTTTAAAGAGGTTAATAAGTTAAATGGGATTATTGGGATGGTTCTTAATCCAATAGGACTGGTTTCCTTATAAGAAGAGGAGATTAGGACACAGACATTCATAAAGGGAGAATGTCATATGAACTTGAAGATGGCCATCTACAAGTCAAGGAGAAGGGACCTCAAAGAATCACCCTCGCCAATACCTTGATCTCATACTTCTAGCCTCCAGAATCATGAGAAAATTAATTTCTGTTATTTAAGCCACCCCATCTGCAATACTTTGTGACATCAGCCCTAGCAAATTCATACACCATGAAATTGAAAACCAGTATCAGACACAAACAAAAGATAACCTTTTTAATAAAATCCTTTTCCTTTGTTGTGTTTTTTTATGCTTCATGATGCCTCCAGTGCTAAGCATACCACACTTTCAGAAAAACTATATATTCTCATCTACTAAATGAGGGTTTTAGATTAGGATAGAGGCCCAAGAGAGGCAGTGGCATGTCAAGGTCACAGGACATGTTGATTGGCAGAGTTGAAATGAGAGTCAAAGCTTCCTAACTCCCAAGCCATCAACCCAAACTGGCTTAGGAGGTTCTAAGAAACACCTCTTGGCCCTAACTATCTCTGCAATTCATGGGGAATTTCTAGCATCAAATAGAGTGGAAAACCTCTTAATGCAAAGAAATAAAATTTCATGCAAAATTGAAAGAGGAGGAAGATCTTTAATATTATGTCAATTGTATTAGGGTTCTCTAGAGGGACAGGACTAATAGGATAGATGTATACATGAAAGGGAGTTTATTAAGGAGCATTGACTCATGTGATCACCAGGTGAAGTCCCACAATAGGCTGTCTGCAAGCTGAGGAGCAAGGAAGCCAGTGTGAGTCCCAAAACGTCAAAAGTAAGGAAGCCAACAGTATCGCCTTCAGTCTGTGGCATTAGGAGATGGAGCCTTTTGGAAGGTGATTAGGTCATAGAGCCCTCATGAATGGTATTAGTGGCCTTATAAAAAAGAGGCCCCAGAGAAATCTCTTGTCCCTTCCACCATGCGAGGACAGAGTCAAAAGTTGCCATCAATGAACCAGGAAACAGACCCTCATCAGACACTGAATCTGTTGGCACATTGATCTTGAATGTCCCAGCCTCCAGGACTGTAAGGCATACATTTCTGTACTTTATAAGCTACCCAGTTCATGCTATTTTGTTTATGTAGACTCTACAGTCTCATAGACTAAGACCATTCCTAATTCATTTCTTTGCCTGGAGTACTCCCTGCCAACACAGACATACAATCGTAAAACTTAAGGTAAGCATGCTATGCTGCATGATCTATTAGAGAGGTAAATCTAGTACTATTCTGCAATAATGTTTCCTGAGCCCTTCGTGTATGCTAGACTCTTTGCTTGGGTTCTCTTACACTTCTCATTGATAAATCTATGAGGGAAGTAATATCATTGTGCCCATTTTTCACAGACTCTCAGCCTCTCCATCCTGCCATCTGGGGGATTTGAAAATCGTGATTTTGCATGTGCCATCCCCTTTGCTTACGTTGTTCCTTCTTTTCTTGTTCCCTGAGTATTTTGAATTTGTCCTCCAAGATTTATCTCCAACATCACCGCCTCTGTGAAGCCTTCCCAGGTTCCCCTTTCCAAACATCTGAGAATCACTCCGAGCCTCCATATTACCTCAATTTCCTTTTTACATGCAGTTCCTTGTCATGCACTGTGATGTCACACATGCAATGTGACACTCAGTACCTGGATCCAGGCGGTGTGGTCCTTCATGCCAGGAAGTGTGTCTAATTCATCTCAGAATCTATTGTTTGTGCACTAATTCATTCGGCTGACACTACCTACATAAAGGATGGAATCCTTGTTGCTCTTGTTCACAGGTGAATAAACATTCCCTGTTTATGTGAGTGTGCAGCCCACCATAGGGTTTTAGAGGAAAAGATTGGCTTTTTTTTCTTAATTCATTGGCACACATATGGGGTCTGCTTGCCCTGGCTGCTGGAATCTTGTCACAGAGGGGGCTGGTGCTGAGGGGAGTCACTGGGATTGTTCCGTTAGAAGCTCCCAGCACCCAGTCCTCTGCCTCTCTCTTCCTCGGTTAAGGGCCCTTGTGATTACATTTGCCCACACAGATAATCCAGGATAATCTATCCATTCTAAGGTGAAACAAGTGGCAGCCTTAATTCATCTGCAGCTTTAATTCCCTTTACCATGTTACATAACGCATGCACCGGTTTGCAAGGATTAGGACATAGACATCCTTAAGAGGCCTTATTCTGCAAACCATACCAGTAGCACCTGCACTCCCATCCCAAGTCATGACAACGAGGTATATCTCCAGACATTGTCAAATGTCCCCTGGGGAGAGGGCAAAATCTGCCTTACTGGAGAACCATTGATTTAGAGAATTCCTAAGCATTGTAAGGCCTTGCTTCTGATATTTGCGCGTTCTAGTGACTTAATAAGAATTGTGGCTGGGCAGGGTGGCTCACATCTATAATCCTAGCATTTTGGAAGGGTGAGGCAGGAGGATCACTTGAGACCAGCATTCAAGACCAGCCTGGGCAACATAGTGAAACCCCCATCTCTATCAAAAAAGAAAAATCCAGGCAGGGTGTCATGCACCCATAGTCCCAGCTACTCAGGAGGCTGCGGAGGGACAGTTGCTTGAGTCTAGTAGGTCAAGGCTGCAGTGAGCCAAAACCACACCATTGCACTCTAGCCTGGGCTACAGAGTGAGATCTGTCTCAAAAAAAAAAAAAAAATTAAAGGAATTGCAGGGAGTCTGGAGGTGAAGTGAATTACACCAAATGACCAAATGGTACCAAATGACTTTGTCTGAGACTCCATTTCCTCATCTGTACCAAGAGGAAAATAAAAACCATGTACTTCTAGAGTTATAGAAAATATTAAAGGAGGAAATGTGTGAAAATGGCTCTTAGTGCCTGGGGAACGGAGAAGCTTAATTATTAGATCCTGAGAAAAATTGTCTTGAATAGAGACATAGTATTAATACTAGCTGCCTAGCCTTGGGTTTTCCCCAAATTAGAGCCCAACACAAAGGTTATTTGGGGAAGTGATCCCCAGGAGTAGAAGCAGGGGGCTGGGGTGAGGTGAGCTAGGGAAGGAGAGAAAGCCAATTTGCAGGTGCATTATTCAGCTGGGTTCCACTAGGGACACGTGGTCTCAGTCTCACCTGGGCACCCTCAGGGAAACCGTGTAGCACCTGCCCCAAATGTTTCCACCCAAGACAAGGGACAGAGGCATGGAGATTTCATGATTAACCTACACTATGTGATGGCCTCCATTCAAATCCCAGCTTCACCACTGGCCAGTCATGTCACCTGAAGTCATATCACCTCTTTCTGCTTCAACCTCCTCATCAATGGGAATGTTGATGGCACCAATTTCATAAGGTGGCTGCAAAGAAGAGATGAAATCACATATATAAAGTGCTTAGCAGGCTGGGCACAGTGGCTCATCCCTGTTATCCCACACTTTGAGAAGCCAAGGTGGGAGGGATTGCTTGCACCCAGGAGTCTGAGACCAGGCTGAGCAACAGAGCATGACCCTGTATCTCCAAAATAAACACAAAAAGTAGCCAGGCATGTTGGCATGCACCCATAGTCCTAGCCACTCAGGAGGCTGAAGCAGGAAGACTACTAGAGGCCAGGTGTTCACAGCTACAGTGAGCTATGACCACATCACTGGCCCAGCCTGGGCAACAGAGCTCACTGCAAAATTAAAAAGTGCTTAACAGTAAGTGTTTAATTAAAGGAAGTTCATAATATGGGAACAGTGTAAATAAGAATATCAGACCCCACTGCCTGGGGAAGGGCCTCTATCCCACTTGCTCTCCCTTTGTGAAATGCTGAAAAATGGACCTCAGTGTCCTTATCTGTAAGATAGAAAAATAATAAAACCTGCCTCAGAGGGTTAGAGTGAGGAGTAAGTGAGACAAAGCACGTTAAGTGTTCAAAGGGCATCTAGCATAGAGGTGCCCAGGCTTGGCACTGTTATAACTCACTCTCTGTGTGAGTTGCATTAGAAAGCAGCTTCAGAGAGTAAACAGACTGAGCCTGAGTTGTGTGTGTGGGCTCAGAATGAGCCGAGGTCAGACAGGGCTCCTTGCTAGACTCTGAGGTAACGGGGATGGGTCCTAGGGAAGCCAGCATGGAGCCCAGAGTGTTGTTCTATCTCACGCCTCTAGGAGAAGCTAGAAACCCAAGAGCGACCTACCACAGGGGTCCAGCTGTGTCAAAGGAGATGTGGGGGACTCATTGCGATGCCTGTGTCATTAGAAGACCTGAATTCCAGGGGCCAGGCGCGGTGGCTGACATATGTAATCCCAGCACTTTGGGAGGCCGAGGCAGGCGAGTCACCTGAGGTCAGGGGTTCGAGACCAGCCTGGCCAGCATGGTGAAACCCCATCTCTACTAAAAATACCAAAAATTAGTTGGGTATGGTGGTGCATGCCTGTAATCCCAGGTACTTGGGATGCTGAGGTAGGAGAATTGCTTGAACCTGGGAGGCAGAGGTTGCAGTGAGCTGATGTCATGCCACTGCACTCCAGCCTGGGCAACAGAGCAAGATTCCATCTAAGAAAAAAAAAAAAGACCTGAATCTCAGAACCTGCTCTGCCCCACCCTTGTTGTGAGACCTTGAGTGAGTCTCCACTTCTCGCTGGGTCCCAGCTGAGCAGACAGACTGTAGGCTGCAGAACAGCCCAGGGTTCTCTCTCTCACCCTCCATCCGTCCATCTCTCCTTCCCTGGATGCTCATGTGATCCTAGGTGATCCTGTGTATCGGGAGCCTCAGGGCTACTGTGTCCTGGCAGAGTTTGCTTGTCCAGTGGTTGTCACCTGGCTAACTAGACTTGACCACATGCCTGTCCCATTGGACACAGTGCTCTTCAGTCCTTTCTGCCAAGGCTCTGTCTGCCACTGCCCTGCAGCCGGCTCTGTGTCTCCTCCCCCTGAGTTTCCTTTCTTACCCTTTCCCCACCCTTGGCTGGTTCTGAATTCTGGGTAACAAATATCACCAAGGGACCAGCAGGGACATTAGCAACCTCATAACCACTTTTATGAGCAGTGAAATTTAACAGATCTTTCATGTGGCCTAGGGAAGCTCATCCTCCCTTCTCCTTCCCCTTCCTCTTTGGTTGTTGCGAGGTAGGTGCATAAATTGTGTTTTCTGATGTGTTGACACCTGGGGCTTCACTGATCCTGGAGAGAATGTCCTTCCCAGGGGTAGCTAATTTCTAGAGATAGTCAGGAATTCATCTGCAAGTGCACCTGTCATGTGTAAACCAACCGATCTGAAGCCCACAGCCCAGCCACCTTTTCTAGTGGGCTCTCACAGTCAGGCCACTATTCCCCTGCCTTAATCACCCCGGGGCTGGGGAGTAGAAAACTAGGGACAGCCCCTCTGTGTCTATGCTCCAGAACCTGCTAGAATTACCCCAATTTGCCAATCCTAAGCAAACCTACCCTGCCTTGTCTTGTCTTCCTGCAAAAGCCACAATAAAGGTTCTTGCCGACGTTTTGCCTCCCTCTCCCACTACCTCCTGGCCAACTCTGGTGCTGCCCTGTGCGGCCTTCCGTAGGTGATATGTCTCCTGTTTTTAGGGTCATGTGAGGAAACCTTCTTTCTTCATAACAGTCATTTCCATGTCTGTGTATCTTACCATCTATGATTAAAATAAATCCTGGGTACATTTTAAAGACTGGGGTGGACCATCTTGCATTGGTGGTTCAGAATGGGATAGAATGTGTGCACATAGCATTAAATGATCTTGGGAAAGCCAATTCCACACTCATTAACTAACTCATTGTTTATTCCTATTCAACCTTTTAGGTTACCTGGAGAAGAAAGTCTCAGCTTAGTGCTATTATGATTTTAACATGTCCATTTAAATAGACACCCAAAGACTTTATTTCATTTGGTCAAAAATAAACATCATTTTTATTACATTTATGATGATGGTTCCCTGCAAGTGACAGCAAATAGAGCTGATTTTCCATTTACAACCTACTAGTTAGGGTCCCAACAGGATTACACAGTGCAGTTAGGATGATCTACAAAGCACTCATTGCAGGAGTATGGCAGGGTGGAAGGGGACCAGGAGGGAGGACACAGGATTCTGGGTAGCAGAGGAAAATTATTGCCAATCTTAGACCAGAAGGGACCAAGGGGAGGAACTATCACAACCTGTAAGCAAAGGGAGATGTGCAGAGCGGGCCAACTTGAGAGAAACAGGGATCTGCGTGGTCAGCCCAAGACCACCTCCTAGAGAGGGAGCCACACAAACCAACAACCTGACCTAACTCTCCTTTGTCTAGGCTCCCGCTTCAGGCTGGCCAGAACCAACCAGAAGTCAAGGCTAAGGGGGTACATGGATGGTGCTTACAGGTCAGCCTTGCAGGATACAGAACAGGGTGGAGAGTAAATCTAGAGGGGTAGAGAATGGGGTGGAAATAGACAAGATCCTATACAGAAGCAGACAGACAGACAGAAACCAAATTACTTCCCATGCCTGAACAGAAGACAGAGAATCCTTCCACCTCCAAAACATATATTATATAATATACATTAATATATAACATATCAGCTGGGTGGGGTGGCTCTGCCTATAATCCCAGCACTTTGGGAGGCAGAGGCGGGTGGATCTCCTGAGGTCAGGAGTTTGAGACAAGCCTGGCCAACATGACAAAACCCCGTCTTTACTAAAAACACAAAAAATTAGCCAGGCATGGTGGCTGGCACCTATAATCCCAGCTACTCGGGAGGCTGAGGGAAGACAATTGCTTGAACCTGGGAGGCGGAGGTTGCAGTGAGCTAAGATCATGCCATTGCACTCCAGCCTGGGTGACAGAATGAGACTCTGTCTCAAAAAAAAAAAAAAAAATATATATATATATATGTGTGTGTGTGTGTGTGTGTGTGTGTGTGTGTGTATCAACCATACATTGCAGTTATATACTATAATACATATATATTATCACATATCTATAATATACAGTCCTTAGAGAAGAAGAATTTGCCTTATCTTTGAATTCTTACAAAGTTTCCGTATTACAGGAGCCTTCTCCATTATTTTACTTTGAATGACAAAGTATTACTTAGGGAAGATACATTAGCCTAAAAAGGTGTTTCCTACAGTCTGGCTGCACAGTGGAGTCACCTGGGATGTTTTAAAAGCCCTGATGCCAGGCCCCACCCCCAGAAAACCAGACTGTAATTGGTCTGAGCTGGGCTTGCCATAAGGAGTTTTCAGCACTCACTGATGAAGTCAAGCCTGAGAACCCCCACCTAGAACAACCTCAATCCCTGCAAGTGTGCAATGCTCGTGGAAACCACCTGGCACTTATAACTCCTCGTTAGCCTAAATCCCTAATTCAGACAGGGCATAATTATTCCTAGCGGGATGAGTTCACCATAGCGTATGCTGGATGCCACAGTCGAGAAGCCTCTTAAAGATGATCACTTAATGAAATACACTAAGGGACTGTATTGTAGAGAATAAAGATACCTCCAAGACAAACCAAAAACTCAACCATCCTGATAGTAAGCAAAAAGGATCCTGTGGCTTGCAATACACCTTCCAGTGTCACTATCTCTTATCTGCTAAACTGTAGCCCCCAAAATTCATAGGTTAAATTCCTAAGCCGAGCATGGTGGTGCGTGCCTGTAGTCCCAGCTACCAGGGAAGCCGGGGTGGGAGAATTGTTGAGCCTGGGAGTTGGAGGCTGCAGCGAGTGTGGCCATACCACCCTAATGTGCCTGATCTCGTCTAAGGTTGCAACGAGCTATCACTGCACCACGGCACTCCAGCCTGGGCAACACAATAAGACCCCGTATCTAAAAATTAATTAATTAAATTCCTAACCCTAGTACCTCAGAATGGAATTGTATTTGGAGATGGGGGAGGGGGTTGGGGTGTGTGTGTGTGTGTGTGTGTGTGTGTGTGTGTGTGTGTGTGTGTGTTTTGAGACAGAGTTTCACTCTTGTCACCCAGGCTGAAGTGCAATGGCACGTTCTCGGCTCACTGCAACCTCCGCCTCCCAGGTTCAAGTGACTCTCCTGGCCTCAGCCTCCCAAGTAGCTGGAATTACCGGTGACTGCCACCATGCCTGGCTAATTTTTGTATTTTTAGTACAGAGGGAGTTTCACCATATTGGCCAAGCTGGTCTCGAACTCCTGACCTCAGGTGATCTACCTGCCTCGGCCTCCCAAAGAGCTGGGATCACAAGCATGAGCCACCACACCCAGCAAGAGATAGGATCTTTAAAGAGGTAATTTAGCTGAAGGAGGCTGTTAGGGTGGGCCCTAATCCAATATGATTTGTTTCCTAAGGAGAGATTAGGACACACACACACACACACGGAGGGATGACCATGTGAAGATACAGGGAGGAGGCCATCAACAAGCCAAGAGAGAGGCCCCAGAAGCAACCAGCCCTGCCCACACCTTGATCTTGGACTTCTAGCCCCCAGAATGGTGAGAGAAGACACTTCTGTTTAAGCTACCCAGTCTGTAGCACTTTGTTATAGAAGCTGGCACAGACACATAAAATATTATACACGGGTTTTTAAAGCGCTGCATTTCAGACAACTTGTTTTAACACAGTTAAAGCCAGCCACCAAGTCAAAGCTTTTCTGTTATGAATGAAGAATAAGAGACAGGGTTCTGGAGCCACGGGCTCGGTTCTCTCTCTTCCCCATCTCATTTCCCTGCCCCTTTCTGAGTGCTTCCTGGGCTCACCTCCCAAACAAACTACTTTCACTGGATTCATTGTTTCTAGGTTGGCTTCTAGGGGAGTCCAGCCCAAGATACCTCCCAAACTAGGGGTTTGAATCTTTGATCCTTCTGCTGATGTGGGCTGAGGTTGTTTTCATGTGTCTGATATGCTTGGCTAGGCTTCTATCCACCAATGCAGGTAATATTAGGATATTAGGAGAAGAGGGCTTCCCAGGGTGCTTCCTGAGCTGCCCAGCATTGCAACCTCCCTCTGGAGCACACAGCAGCCTCCCTTGCTCCTATCCCACCTCAAATAGGCAAAGTGCCTGCAGTTCTAGATATCACAGAACCCAGGTCAGAGCCCCATGCAGGCTCTCAGCCTGGACACCCTCTCATCTCTCCACCCTCAACATGCTACAATTTATGCAACAGATTTTTTTTTTCAAATTCCATTCAAAAGGGGGTGACTATTAGCCTGTAGAGAGTCTTATGCGGGCAGGAGGTGGAATGGCTAAACTAGGATATTCTCAGGATCCAGAGACCTGGAGATCACTAAGTGGCACATTTGAAACACACACACACACACAACCTTCTCTAAATGTTGAGAACACAAGACCAAGTTATCACATTCTTAAAGCACTAGACAGAAAGGAGTAAAAAGAAATCTCTCTTCATCAGCTTGCCCATGCCTGGGTGGTGCCCAAGATGCATTTCCTTTGGCTGTAAGATTGTTTTATGGGCTGCTTTTGGAAAAGAAGTAGAATAAGGTTTTTGAAAAATCATCAAATGCTTCCAAGAAAACTCAAAATTCTAACCAGCATGGGAGGCGGTTTTCCATTCCCTGGTCATAAGCTGTCCAGGAGCCCTGGGGAGTCCAGCCAGTTCCCTAGACAGGGCCAGCCGAGCCCAGGGCAGAAGAGGTCAGGCTCACAGAGATGCCAGTGGACCACCCTGGGCAGGGCAGCCCTGCAGGGCTCACAAGTGGCTCATTTTCTCCAAGACAGCTGGGTGCTGGGCTCAGGAGAAAAGGCAGAGACTGTCTGTATCTTGGCAGAGCCTGGGAGGAGGGTCCGGGAGATAGTCATTTTATAAGAAGGTTATTTGCGTCTCCCATCCTTGTAGAGAAGAAAGCCAGGGTGGCCATGTGAGGTGGCTCACGCCCGTAATCACGGCACTTTGGGAGGCTGAAGCAGGTGGATCACCTGAGGTTTGGGGAGTTCAAGATCAGCCTGACCAACACGGAAAAACCCCATCTCTACTAAAAATACAAAATTAGCCGGACATGGTGGTGCATGCCTGTAATCCCAGCTACTCGGGAGGCTGAGGCAGGAGAATTGCTTGAACCCGGTAGGCAGAGGTTGCAGTGAGCCAAGATCGTGCCATTGCACTCCAGCCTGGGCAACAAGAGTGAAACTCCATCTCAAAAAAAAAAAAAAAAAAAAAAAAAGAGAGAGCCAGGGTGTGCTCAGAGACAGCTGAAGCCTTTTTTGGTGGCCTGGAGATATAAAGAAGCCTTCATGATTGGCATGGTTTGGCTCTGTGTCTCCACCCAAATCTCATCTTGTAGCTCCCATAACTCCCATGTGTTGTGGGAGAGACCCGGTGGGAGATGATTGAATTATGTGGGCGGGCCTTCTTGTGTTGTTCTGATGATAGTGAATGGGTCTCATGAGATCTGATGGTTTTAAAAACCGGCGTTGCCCTGCACACGCTCTCTCTTTGCCTGCCACCATCCACGTAAGATGTGACTTGCTCCTCCTTGCCTTCTGCCATGATTGTGAGGCCTCCCAGACACGTGGAACTGTGAGTCCAATTAAACCTCTTTCTTTTGTAAATTGCCCAGCTTGGGTATGTCTTTATCAGCAGTGTGAAAACAAACTAATGCAGTGATCTAAACTGGTCACTCTCTCTTTTTAGAGAGATTGTCGAGTAGAAAGATGCAAATGTGGGAAGACCAGAAATCAGAGTCCCAATTCCTGGTAGCAGTTGGGAAGCAGAAACAGGAGGGTGGATCCTCTGACTCAGCCTCGTGACCCATCAGCACAGAAATAATCTTGAGTCAAAATCTCCCCATCTTCAAAACTAGGGCTCAGGTCAACAGCCACCAAATTGCCATCTTCTGCTACCCCAGGAGGAAAATAAGGAAATGTCTGGAAGATGCTTCAGCTTATCAGTTTATTGTGACATACTATTAGGAATAGACTTAGAGGTATGTCACCTCTGGTCTGCAGGTAAAGCTGATATATGAGAATCCTATGGATTAGGTGGCTCAGCCCACCTTCCGCTAATAGGATGATTTACCATCCTGGTTTGCCTGGGACTCTCCTGATTTTAACATAGAAAACTCTTGCATCCTGGGAAACCCCTCTGTCCTGAGAAAAACCATGTGGTTCATTAGTCTTGCTAACTACACACACACACACACACACACACACACACACACATAAACACACCCCTAGCCAACCCTGATCTTTTCAAGGATATTGGTTATTCAAGTGCAAACATTAGTTCCATACTCCTCTTCACCCCCCCAGGCACAATGCTGAGTCCCATGTACATGGTCCATGAATGCTGTAGATGCAGCTGACATCCCCCTCACCCCCCTCATCTCCTTTGACACTAATGTACCCATTCTTTAAATGCTGCAAGTACTACAGGCAGCTTACAACCACCAACCACCTTGCCTGGAGAATTAACTTTGGCTGAGTCAAGCCACTTCACCCAGAAATGCAGACCTCTGGAGGCCATACCACTTCTCACCGGGGGCAGCTGGTGAGATTGACTGATATAGGGACAATTCTGTAATGCAGTTTATGCTCCAGTATCCCCCTGAGGGTCAGGCCAAGGCTAGACTGCACCTGAGAGCACATCCTGGCTCAAGCCCTCCCCAACTTCTGGACTCTGCTTCTACGAATCCCAACCTAGGGCAATATGTGCTATCCTCTTCCCCTCCACAGTACCTCCTGAGGCAACACCCTTCTTTTTATTGCTGCTACCAGAGTTGAAGCCACCATCATCTCTCATGGGTGACCACACAGTGTCCACCCTGTCTCCCTGCCTCCACTCCTACCTTCAATCCTCCCCATTTTCTTCAAAATGACCAGACGGAGCTTTTAAAAGTAAAAATCAACCATTCAGGCTGCTATAACAAAATATCATAGGCTAGGTATAACAAAATATCATACACTAGGTAGCTTAGAAACAACAGAAATTTCTCACTGTTCCAGAGGCCGGGAAGTTCAAGATCAAAGTGCCCAGTGAGAGTCCATTTTCTGGCTTAGAGATGGTGCCTTCTTGCCACATCTTCACATGGTGAAAGGGACTAGCGAGCTCTCTGTGGATCTTTTATAAGGCACTAATCCCTTTCCTGAGGGCTCTATCCCATGACTTAATCACCTCCCAAAGGCCCCTCCTGCTAAGACCGGTGCCTTAGGTGTTAGGATTTCACAGGACACAAACATTCAGACCAGAGCATACTCCTCTGCAAATCCTTCTGCAAATCTAACACTTTTTTTTTTTTTTTTTTTGAGACAGAGTCTTCTCTGTTGCCCAGGCTGGAGTGCAGTGGTGCAACCTCGGCTCACTGCAACCTCCACCTCCCAGGTTCAAGCGATTCTTCTGCCTCAGCCCCCCGAGTAGCTGAGACTACAGGTGCACACCACCACGCCCAGCTAATTTTTGTATTTTTTTCTAGTAGAGACAGGGTTTCACCTGACTCTGCCAGGCTGGTCTCGAACTCCTGACCTCGTGATCCACCTGCCTCAGCCTCCTAAAGTGCTAGGACTACAGGTGTGAGCCACCACGCCCGGCTTCTAACACCCTTTTATGAAGAAAAAATAATACTCGACAACTTAGGAATCAAAGGGAACTTCCTCAACCTGATAAAGAGCATCTGTAAGAAACCAGGGCCAGGCATGGTGGCTCACACCTGTAATCTCAGCACTTTGGGAGGCCAAGGTGGGCAGATCACTTGAGCCCAGGAGTTCAAGACCAGTATCGGCAACATGGTGAGACCCCCACCTCTACAAAAAATACAAAAATTAACCAGGCATGGTGGTGCATGCCTGTAGTCATAGCTACTTGGGAGGCAGAGGCAGGAGGGTTGCTTGAGCCCAGGAGGTGGAGGCTGCAGTGAGCTATGATCATGCCACCACACTCCAACCTGGGTGACAGAGCCAGAACAAGTCTCAAAAAAGGAGAAAAAAAGCCAACAGCAAACATCATACTTAATGACAAAAAATTGAAAGCATTTCCTTTAAGATCAGGAACATGATAAGGATGGCCATTCTTACCACTTCTAGTCACTATTTTGCTGAAGAGTCAAGCCAGGGAATTAGGCAAGAAATAGAAAAAGCAATCAGATTAGAAAGGAAGGATGGAGTAAAACTCTATTTGTGGATACTGTGATCTTGTAAGGCACGTGGAGGGTGAGGTCCTGATTTGTAGCACTAGCCGACTTCAGAGGTATAAATATGCCCACACATGCAAGGTCAAGCTACTGATAGGACGTCACTGAATGTAGAACTGAGAAGAAATGCACAGATTTGGTCCTCTCAACTATGACTATATACACAGAGGTGACCTCACCACTCATTACAATCCTTCCTCTGAAACCCCTTCTCTCACCCTCACTCACATACTATCTGGAACAGAGCAGGTATTTGACAAATAAATTGAATGGGGAAAATCCCATCTGTGGCTTTCTATTTCTCTTAAGATCTAAAGTCTTTGTAGTGGCCTGCATGTCCCTGCATGATCTGGCTTCTGCCCACCCTTCCAGCTTCATCTCACACTGCTTCTCCCCTTCTCTGTGTACTCAGCTGCACTGTCCTCCTTTGTCTCCCCCAGTGATCTAAGTTCTTCCCACCGCTGGGCTTTTGCACATGCTATTCCTGCTACCTGGAATACTGACTTCTCTTGGCTAAGCCTTACTCTTCTCTCAGGCCTTGGTTTATTGTGGTTGTTCTCAACCAGGGGACATTTGGAAATGTCTGGAGCCTTTTTTTAAAAAAGAAAGAGACAAGGTCTTGCTCTGTCACCCAGGCTGAAGTCTAATGTCATGATCATAGCTCACTGCAGCCTGGACTTCCCAGGCTCAATCGATCCTCCTGCCTCAGCCTCCTGCGAAGCTGGGACCACAGGCACGTGACACCACAGCCAAGTTGTTTTAACTCTTTTTTTTTTTTTTTTCCAGGACAGGGTCTCACTATGTTGCCCAGGCTGGTCTCAAACTCCTGGACTCAAGCGATCCTCCATCCTCAGCCTCCCAAAGTGCTGGGATTACAGGCATGATCCACCACACCTGGCCTGGAGACATTTTTTATTATCACAGCTGGAGGAATCCTACTGGCCTCTCATGGATAGAGGCCAGAGATTCTGCTCAATATCCTAAAATGCCCGGGACAGCCTTTCCCATCAAAGAATTATCCAGCTCAAAATGTCAATAGTAGCAAGATGGAGAAACCATGGTTTAATGTGAGATCACCTTCCCTGATCACCTCATTAACTGATGGAGGTTTCCCCTGTTATTCTCTCTCACGATACTCAAGTCTCTCCTTGAACCACTTACGCACAATTTGGACCTGGGCCACAGTAGACAGCCTAACATATTTGAGAAGATATTCAGGAGGTGGGGGGCTTAGAAGGGTCTAAACCTCCCTGTCTTGTGTCTTATGTCAGGTTTGCAGAGGCAGGAACAGACCCGAGGAGTCTTGCACAAGTGATTTATTAAGGACGTGCTCCAAGAGAAACCAACAGGCGATGGGGGGAGCAAAAGTGGGGAAGGGAAGAAGCCAAGCCAGCGTGAGATTTCAGCAAAGCCTCAGCACTAGCTGAGCCTGCTGGGGAGCTCTCAGCATAAATTACGCTCTGAGTGCGTCCCCACTCACTCAAGGCAGAGAAGTTGGGTTTTCATGCTCCTACACCGGTCAGTCTTCAGCTAGGGGTCACCCCAGAGCTGCACTCCCTCCTGATGCCATCAGCCCTCTGGGCTTGCAGGCAGAGCAGTTGGTAGCCTAAAAGCAGGCCTCCAGAGAGAGCCACAGTCGCAACCACAAGAAGCCAGAGCTCCTAGAAGCCAGAGAATATTTGCACAGAAGCAGTAAAAGAAAGAGAATCTGAGTGGGACATCAACAATGCAAATCTGCTAGACAGCTGGGCGATCAGATTAAAATGAATTAAACTTGTGGGACTTCCGTTGGTGTACAAAGTAGTGGCTCCTCTTCCTGGGTATGTCTCTCCTTCTCAAGAGCCCGCAGAAAGCTCCCTATTATAAGTCAGCATCTGTGATATGACCTCACTGGGCATTTATTTATACTAAATCCCTGCTAACAGTTTCTGCCACCCTGCTCTTCTTATTGTGAAAGTTATAGATTTCTCTCCCTGCTCACAATTTATGCTTCTACAAAGGTAGCTCATAACAAAAGAACATCTGTATATCAAACCTACTTGACTTGGTCAGCCCAGAGATGTTTCTTCACTCCCCCATGAAGCCACCAATAGCCTTGAGGATATTGGAGAGCTTCTGAAAGTTGTCTTCAAAATTCGATGTGCGTATGAGTTCTTTGTAGAGAGGATCCATTGTTTCATTTGATTATCCAGGTGGCTCATGACCCAAAATAAATCCAAGATAAAAGTTCCTCTCTTTGGTAGAATTGAATTTTCTATATCAGGATGTTTATTAGTTTGCTAGAGCTGTTTAAACAAAATACTACAGGCTGGGCACGGTGGCTCATAACTGTAATCCCAGCACTTTGGGAGGCCAAGGTGGGCAGATCACTTGAGCTCAGGAGTTCAAGACCAGCTTGGCCAACATGGCAAAACCTTGTCTCTACCATAAACACAAAAATTAGTCAGATGTAGTGGTAGGCACCTGTAATCTCAACTACTTGTGAGGCTGAGGCACAAGAATCACTGGAACCTGGGAGATGGAGGTTGCAGTGAGCCAAGATCGTGCCACTGCGCTCCAGCCTGGGTGACAGAATGAGACTCTGTCAAAAAAAACAAAAACAAAAACAAAAAAAAAACACAAACAAACACACACACACAGATTGAAGAGCTGAGTATGGTGGTTCAAGCCTGTAATCCCACACTTTGGGAGGCCAAGGTGGGAGGATCACTTGAGCCCAGAAGTTCAAGACCAGCCTGGGCAACATAGCAATACCCTGTCTCTACAAAAGGGAAAAAAAAAAAAATCTTAAAAATTAGGCAGGCAGAAGCTGTGCAATGTAGTCCCACCTACTTGGAAAGCAGAGGTAGAAGGATCACTTGAGCCCAGGAGTTCGAAGCTGCAGTGAGCAGTGATCGCGCCACTGCACTCCATCCTGAGCAAAAGAGCGAGACCCGATCTCAAACAAAACAAACAAAACCACAGATTGGGTGGCTCATGCCAGATAAACAATAAATTTACTGTCTTACAGTTCAGGAAGAACAGAAGTCCAAGACCCAGGTTGGCACAATCAGTCTCTTCTGAGGGCTCTGTGGGTGAACCTGGCCCATGCCTCTCTCTGGCTTCTGATAATTGCTGGCATCTTTGGCATTCCTTGGCTTGTAGAGCTTTCACCCAGATCTCTGCCTTCACCTTGACATGGTGTTCTCCGTGTGCATGTGTGTGTGTGTGTGTGTGTGTGTTTGTCTGTGTCCACATTTCCCCTCTTTATAAAGATACAAATTCTATAAGATTTAGAGCCACCCTATCCGGTATGACCTCATCTCAACAAATTACATTTGTGACTACCTTTTTAAATATTTTTTTTCTTGAGACAGGGCTTTTCTCTGCTACCCAGGCTGGAGTGCAGTGGTGTGATCACAGTTCACTGCAGCCTCAACCTCCTGGGCTCACAGGATCCTCCTACTCCAGCCTCCTGAGTAGCTGGGACCACAGGTGTGCACCACCATGTCACCATGCCTGAGTAACTTCTTTATTTTTTTGTAGAGATGGGGGGCGGTCTCTCTATGTTGCCCAGGCTGGTCTCGAACTCCTCAAGTAATCCAACTCAGCCTCCCTAAGTGCTGGGATTACAGGTGTGAGCCACTGCACTCAACCTACCTATTTCTAAATAAGGTGACATTTTGAGATACTGGGGGTCAGGACATCAACATGTGAATATTTGGGAAACACAGTTTGGCCCATAACAGAGCGTCTTAAAGTCGGATAGGCCAATATCTTGAGTTGTCAGGGATGGTGCTGGGGCAAAGGACGGAAGAAGAGTGTTCATCTGAGTAGGGGGTGGGAGGGAGGAAGGACCCCTGAGAGTGGAGGGGACTGGTTGACTATGGGGAGAATGAGCCAGCCTCAGCCCATGGGCTCTGAGAAGCCTCCCTAGTGGCATCCAGTGTCTCCACCTCCTTTCATGCACCTCTTTCTGTTTACTCAGGCCCATCCCTTACCCCTACCGCTGATGGGGCAAGCAGCTGCAGGTCAGCTGCCACCGGCTTGGTGCAGGAGCTTGTGGATACCCTCAGTAAAGCAAAGACCACATTATCACACAACCTAAAAGCTGGATGAGTTAAAAGCCACAGGACTGCCTTGACCAAGGGGGGAAGGGAGCCCATGGATAACTTCTTCTCTCCCTCCTGCCCTGGGCAGACACTTCTGAGATGCCTCTCAGAAGGCTTCATAGATCCTGCAAAATATGCACCAGTTGCCTGTAGTGGTGGCCAAGTCCTCTCCTTCCTACGTTGTCCCTTTTTCCTTCTCCCTGGTATCATGTATTAGTCTGTTCTAATGCTGTTAATAAAGACATACTGGAGGCTGGGTGGGGTGGCTCATGCCTGTAATTCCAGCACTTTGGGAGGCTGACGGGGGCAGATCATTGGAGGTCAGGAGTTCGAGACTAGCCTGGCCAACATGGTAAAAACCCATCTCTACTAGGAAAAAAATACACAGATTAGCTGGGTGTGCTGGTGCATGCCTGTAATCCCAACTACTTGAGAAGCTGAGGCATGAGAATCGCTTGAACCTGGGAGGCAGAGGTGGCAGTGAGCCGAGACTGCACCACTGCACTCCAGCCTGGGCAACAGAGTGAGACTCCTTCTCAAAAAATAAAAATAAAGACATACCTGAGACTGGGTAATTTATAAAGGAAAGAGGTTTAATGGACTCACAGTTCCACATGGCTGGGGAGGCTTCACAATCATGGTGGGAAGCGAAGGAGGAGCAAAGTCACGTCTTACATGGTGACAGGCAAGAGACCGTGTGCAGGGGAACTCCCCTGTATAAAACCATTAGATCTCATGGGACTTATTCATTACTATGAGAACAGTATGGGGATAAAACTCCCATGACTCAGTTATCTCCACGTGGCCCTGCCCTTGACACTTGGGGATTATTACAATTCAAGATGGGATTTGGGTGGGGATACAGAGCCAAACCATATCAGGTCACTTCCCAAGAAAACTGCCTGCACATGAACCTTTGCCTCAAGCTCTGCTTTCAGGCCCAGGCTGAGACATTCTGCATGCCAGATCACAGAGGAAGGAGAAGTGGGCTTCTCCCTGGTGTCAACAGCACATCCCCTATGTGGACAGACAAAGCTTTTGGAGGAGAGAATTGAGGGGGTGGGAGGAGACAGAGGCAGGCAGGGGCAGGAGCGGCCACATCTTTCCTGCTCCTGAGAGTAAGCTGCTGGCCACTTGCAAAGACAGAATAGACTCTGGGTTGAGTGCTAGTCCTCCAGGCTGACTTCTGATCAGCCCCAGTCCCATGAACTCCCTCCAGTTTCTGCTATATGTCCCTAGCATAAGAACACATCAACCCTAATGTTATCATATATATGGCAGGACATGACATACATCACGTCATGGCCTTTAGTTGTCTTGCTGGAGCATGTACCCCTCTCCCTATGGTAGGTAAGCCCTGGGTCTAGGGAGTAATAGTGCAGAAACCTAAGACCACGGTCTTGCGGCCACCCAAGACCATGCTTCTGCCTGTAATTTCCCCTAATTAAACCCCCTATACCAACAAATTGGATGTGTCTGTTTCCTTCTTGGTTTCCTGGCTTCCCTGGCATTTGGGGGCAACTTTGCATATACAACTTGCATATACAAAAAGAAGCCCTGAGGCATTACACAGCTATTATTTGTAAGCTTGCTTTCCTAATATACCCTCCTCCCAAAATACAAAACACATTCTCCCTCCTGACCCACTCCCAAGAGTGCCATCCCTGCAAGCGATCATCCCCGGAAGAGCAGTATCCCTAAAGCAGCAAGTGCTTACAGCCCTGCAGCCAGGACTTGGAGCTTTGAAGCCCTGCCTACCAATGTGTGGACAAGTTACTTAGACTCTTTATGCCTCCATTTTCTCATCTGTAAAATGGGCCTGATAATAGCACTAGCCTCATAGTGTGGTGGCAAGATTTATGAAGGTCAGTGCCTATCTCAGCTGGTTCTTAGTGGAGGGGACAGTGACTAGAAGGGTGTACAAGAGGGGTTTCCATGGGGGCCGGGAATGCTCTGCTTCTCTACTCAGCTGCTGGTTCCAGTGGGTGGGTACAGTTATTGATAAGTCAAATGTGCTGATAAGTGCACTCTTGTGTATATATCATATATTTTAATGAGAAGTCTAAAGCAAAAAATAAAATAACCTGCTGCTGCCGGTGGTGGTGATGTTATTAAACTCCAAGCTGTAGGAGAAAGTGGATACATTTTTGACTTATATAAAATGCCCAGTGACATTGCTTTGGGCTCCTTTTTATTGGTAGCACTCCTGAGCAGGAGCCCAACCAGCCAATTTGGGACAACTCCCAGGTGGGAATACAGTGGGCTGGTTCCTCATTGCATGACCTCTCATCTCAAGACCTCAGTTTCTCCACTGGTAAAATGGAAAGAAATTGTCCCTGTCAAATTCCAAAGTCCTGTCATGGCTCTCCGTTTTACACATGGGAAAATTGAGGCTCGAAATGGTTCATTACAAACTTGCAGGCACTAAAGCTTTCGGAAAGACCAGACTCTCTCATTCCCTCCCTGACTGGTCCCAGGAATAAGAACAGCAATAATCCCAGCACAGCAATAACAGGTGGTGTATATGAGCTCTTGCTCCTGGAACCAGGCACTGTTCTATTCCTTACCTCATTTTGTCCTCACATTATTGTCCCATTTTACAGGAAAGAAAACTGAGGCTCAGAGAGTTAAGGTCACAGAGGCAAAGCTCATGCTTCTACCCACTGCCCTTCCACCAGGTCCCTTGGGTTTGGTGGGTTGCTTCTGCGACCTTCCCCCGCCCCCATCCCTCTTCCTCTCTACTCCCAGGCCTATCCTTTCCCTCCCCCATATGTGTATTTAGCCAGGCTGGGTCCCAGCCAAGTCTCGGCTGTCACAGCGTTCCCATCTTTGATCACCCGTCAGCCCAGATGTTGGGCTGATCAAAGGCAGCTGTTACCCAGTCCCTCCCCAAAGCACATGATTATGGATGCACATAAGAGAGAGGTGGGAGGGCGGGAGGGTGGAGGAACAGCCACGTGACAATGGAGACACGCTGGGCCACTGTGCAGGGATAGGCTGGGTCAGGGGGGAGCCAGCTGGGCTTGGGGACCTACTCTTGTCACTGCAAGGTCTCAGAAGGACCAGGGTCCACCAATGCTGAGCAGAGAAACTGATGCTTAACTTTGAAAAGGCTGGAGCTAGATTCAGGGCCCTAGCCTCAAAATGAGTTAAGAAACAAAATCTCAGAGATGAAGGAAGAGGCTGCCAGTAGCTCTACCCATGACAATAATACCCATCTGACTCAAAGCACTGGCTCCAGCCATCTTTTCTACCAGGTTTCTCAAGAGCTGAATTTTCTGTTTACAGTTAATTAAATAAAAAAAGCATGAAACAGCATGTAGGAGATAGCCTTGTGACATTTTACTTTTTAAAATACAGTTATAAGAACCGAGAAAAAGGAAAAAAAAAAACACTGGAAGTGCATACGCCAGAATATTCAGTGGCTGGCCACATATGGGTAGGGAGAAGGCACTTCCCTTTGCTTTTTTTTCTTCATTCATCAATTCAACAAAATTTATGAGCATGTTTTGAAATAATAACACCTAAGATGTATTAAATGTTCACTGGATTCCAGAAACAGGCTCATCTCTGTTTTGCAGAATTAATATATGTTATTTTTATTTAAAAAATTATAAAATTTAAGCAAAATATAAAATGGTATATATGCTTTGATAACAATTTTCTAAAAGGCATGATGAGAGAGATGAGATACATTGATAGATGATACATACATAGATGATTGATAGATTGATGATTGATAGATACATGATAGATAGACAGACAGAGATAGATAGATAGATAGATAGATAGATAGATAGATAGATAGATAGATAGGCAGGCATGATATAAGGCTGAAAAAAATGCTGGAATATACAAGGAACCCCCAGCACCTGCAACCTGATTGGCAAGTAGCAAACACCATCTACCCTCTCTCACTCCAGTTTCCAATTCCCATAGGCAAAATAAAAATTTATGGTGTTCTGGATGGGCTTGAATTCCCACCATCAGAAACTCCAAAGCCACAAACTCTTACCGGACCTGAGACAAAGCCACCTGCCTTTTTCAAGAGTGATCTGTGCCAGGCACTTTGCATACATTATTTCCAACCTGCACAACCACCGTTATATTATCAAGTGGTATTATATATTGGTTTTAACAGGTGTGCAAACTGAGACGCAGAAAGGCCAGAACAAACAGATGCCCTAATTGTTCTTCTCTCACTAGATGCAGCATCTGCCTTCAGTCCCCAAGCAGTGACGTCTAGCAGTCCTGGGAACTGTGTACAGCCAAGGGGGTTGAAGTTAGATCTACCATTTCATTCCCCTGCCCAAAATCTTGATGTGGCAATCCAAAGCTCTTTGGTGAATGTCCCAACTCCTTAGCAAGGCCAAGATCCAAGAGGATTAGAGCAACGTGAATGTCTCCTGTTTGGTTTCTCATGGTTCCTCCTTTGTCCTGCATGATCCCACCATGCAGACATTCCAGGATCTCAAATGCCAAGTCTTCCCTCATCCCTGCTCTGTGCTCACAGGTTGTTCTTCCTCCCTGGAACCTTCTCTCTTCCTTTATCGCCGCTCTCATTCTCCTTCCAGCCTCAACTAGGGTCCCCTCTTTCCACTTTCTCTTGGTTTGTCTTCACCGCCCAAACTGGGCAGGTGAGAGCCTCCTCTGTGGCCTTCAGGCTCTCACATAAACTGCCAAAAGTGACAATCAAAATATCTAACACCTGGTAAGCTGCAGTAATAACCCATCACCATCAACTCTGACCCAATCAGACGAGACATTTGCAATAAAAAAACTGGTCTGACCCACCTTGCTGTGCAGCAGCTGAACATCAGCCCTGCTTAGCCTTAGCCCTCATCACACTGAATCACAAAATTCTATTTCCCACCTGTCTCCATCTGAAGAACGTCAACAACTGAAGAACAGGATCTGTTTCCCACCATCTTGATCAATCAATATTTTCTCTTTTTCTTTATTTTTTTGTTTGTTGTTGTTGTTGTTGTTTTGGTTTGGTTTGGTTTGGTTTTTGTTTTTTTTTTTCTTTCTTTTTTTTTTTGAGAAAGAGTCTTGCTCTGTCGCCCAGGCTGGAGAACAGTGGTGGGATCTCGGCTCACTGCAACCTCTGCCTTCTAAGTTCAAGCGATTCTCCTGCCTCAGCCTCACGAGTACCTGGGATTACAGGTGCCCACCACCATGCTCAGCTAATTTTTGTATTTTTAGTAGAGACGAGGTTTCGCTATGTTGGCCAGGCTGGTCTCTAACTCCTCACCTCCAGTGATCTGCACACCTCAGCCTCCCAAAGTGCTGGGATTACAGATGTGAGCTACTGCGCCTGGCCAGATCAATCAATATTTTCTCAGTGCCAACTGGCATCCAATCTCACTGCTTACTAGCTCTGTGCTCTTAGCCTTATCTGTAAAATGGGCCAATAAAGACATCTGCCTTGTGGTTTGCCTCAAAAGGGATAATGTATCCAAAGTGCTTAGTGTAATTAACATGCTCATTCAATAAATGGTAGTTGTTTATTATTATTTTGTGTGTGTCAGTCTTACGGATTTATAGACTGAAAAGGGAGTTCTCTCCAGGAGGGAAGCAGAGATGAATTGGGCAGTCTGGAGGTGCCACCTAAGTACTGAAAAGCTCTGCCTCGATGCTCTCAGAGCCGGAGTCTCCCCACCCTTCCACCCTGGCCCCCTAAGAGCATGAGACCAAAGAGGAAGCTGATCAATCAATAGGACTTTAAAGGCCAGTCAGCTTTCATACACTGTGTCCTCCCAATGTTTCTTTTAACTACATGGTAACACTCATTTGTTTAGAACTCACAGCAAATACATCTTGGAGAGGACTTTGATCCCTGGCAGCTGTGTATGTGTGAGTGAGGCAGAGTCCCAGGGGCAGAGAGAGCCTGGAAAGGCAGGCTGGTCTTGTGGCTCTCATGCCCTCTGGGCTTGGCACTTCATCACCCAGCCCCCTCCCCAGCAAGTCTGCACTTGGTGGCAGAACGGACAGAAAAGCCAAACCAGAGAGCCCTGGATTCAAATCCTAGGTCTGCCACTTTTCAGATGTGTGACCTTGGGCAAGTCACTCAACCTCCATGGCATCACCTTCTTCATCTACAAAATAGGCATCATAATAGTCCTTAGCCAGGTGTGGTGGTTCACGCCTGTAATCCCAGCACGTTGAGGGGCTGAGATGGGAGGATTCCTTGAGCCCAGGAGTTTGACACCAGCCTGGGCAACATAGTGAGACCCTGTGTCTACAAAAAATATATATACAAATATTAGCCAGGCATGGTGGTGTGTGCCTGTAATCCTGGCTACTCGGGAGGCTGAGGTGGGAGTATCATCTAAGCCTGGGAGGTTGAGGCTGCAGTGAGTTGAGATCATGCCACTGCACTCCAGTCTGGGAAACAGAGTATGAGCCCGTCTCAACAATAATGATAGTTTTTGAAGCCAGTAGTTTGCATAGGAGTAGATGGATCACGCGTGTATTAATAAAATGCCTCGGGATAAGGTAGGAACTTAAACATTTGAATGAACAAATACTTTGGCTCTGCTTGTGAGAAAGGCAGCCTAACATTGTAATCATAATGTTACAGTGTAACCTGTACAAATTACAATGTAACACTGGAATTAAAATGTGACAGATTATACCCCTACTGTCTGGCTTTATGACCTTAGGTAAGTTACTTCCCCTTTCTGAGCCTTGGTCTTCTCATTTATAAAATAGAAATCATAACAGTATCTCCCTAATAGGGAGATTAGTATGAAAATTAACTAAGGCAGTCACTTTTAAGTGCTTACAGCAGTACTCAGCACATTGTACAAACTCAATATTACCTTCTTCATCATTTTAAGTCACACGGCCACGTGGAGCAGAAGGGGAACCCAGGCAATGCAGATCTTAGCTTAGGAGGCATCTGCCCAGCACTGGTGGTGGGTATTGGTGAAGAGAGTTTTATGCCATAATTACCAAAGAGGAGGCCACATCCCCTTTGAGAAAGACAGGTCTTAGAGCTCCCACCCCAGCCCTCACCCCATCCTTACATTAATCTCAGCACCTTGGCCCAGCCTTGCCCTCTGATCCCAAGATATCATTCAAAATCCCCTTTTGGGGTTGCCCCAAGGTCTTATTTTGTCACCTTATGACCTCATTTAACCTTCATTACCTCCTTAAAGGCCCTATCTATCTCAAATACAGTTTCATAAGAGGTTACAACTTCAACATATGAATTGGGATGGGAGGACACAATTCAGTCCATACAAGCCTGCTCTTCCCTTTTTGGGAAGCATTTGAGTCCCCCTTCCATTTGTTTTGTTTTGTTTTTTTTTTTTTTTTTTGGGACAAGGTCTCACTCTGTTACCCAGGAGTGCGGTGACGCGATCACAGCTCACTGCAGTTTCAAACTCCCACCTCAGCCTCCTGAGTAGCTAGGACGACAAGCACGCACAACCATGCCCGGCTAATTTTTTGTATTTTTTGTGGAAAGGGGGTCTTGCTATGTTGCCCAGGCTGGTTTGAACTTTTGGACTCAAGTGATCCTCCTGCCTCAGCCTACCAAAGTGCTGGGATTGCAGGCATGAGCCACCAGGCCTGGACCCCCTCCCATTTGGGTTGAATTGAATTTGCCTTCAAGTTCATAGAAGCACAAAATAAACCCTTCTGCCTAACCAAGGGTGGAAAATGGTCATGAATATGCACCTTTCCCCCAAAGAAAAATGGCACTTTTTATAACTATTAAGCCGACAGGAAAATCTTACTGAGCTGTGCATCAACTTTGAGATGACCATCCATCCCTCGCCTAGCATTCACCTCCTCTCCACTGTAACTAACAGATAAGCACAACCTCCATTGACAAGCAGGGGAATCTAGTGTTTCCCAGCTTCCAAAATGCTCTGCTGAACAGGAGCTTGTTTAATTCTCACACCCACACCTAGGATGCAGGATCCCATACACAGCTCCCATCCTACATGTTTTTTCTCACAATGCAGCTGACACTCCCCAAATCCCACCCCAGCAAGTGGCCGGGTCTGTGTCCCCACCCTTAAATCCATTTGGGGCCATGACTGCTCTGCCCAACAGGGTATAGCAGAAGTGATGCTCCATGACTTTAGAGGCTATATTTTAAAACTATATACAGTTTCTGCTTGTCTCTCTTGCTCCCACGGAAAGCCACCTTGGAGGCCAGCCACCATGCTGTGAGGAAGCTGAAACAAGCCTAGGCTAAGAACTTACAAGAAGAGGCCTCTGAGGCCCCAGACAAGCCAGCCCACCTGTGTCCCATCTGAATTCTAACCCATGTGAATCCATGAGCATAATGAATGGATGTACTATACCATCAGGTCTGGGATAATTTGTTATGCAACCTTAGTACCTAGAAAAATAATGTGTTCACTTTCTAGAGCTGCTGTAACAAATTATCACAGTCTGCTTTCCTTAAAACAACAGAATTCATTCATGCAGAGTTCTGGAGGCCAGAAGTTCAGAGTCAAGGTGTTGGCAGGGCTCTGCTCCCTCTGCGGGCTCTGGGGGGAGTCCGTGCCTTTTCTTTAGTTTCTGGTGTTGTTGGCAAGTCTTGGCATTCTCTGTCTTATAGATGCATCACTCCAGGCTGGGCTTCCATTGTCACTTGGTGTCCTCCCAGTGTGTCTGTCTCTGTTCTCTTCTTATAAGGACATTGGTCATGTTGGAGTAGGGCCCACCCTACTCCAGTAGACCTCATCTTAATTTGATTACATCTATAAAGACCCTATTTCCAACTAAGGTCACACACGGGAATTAGGACTTCAACATCTCTTTTGGAGAAACATAATTCAATTCATAACAAATAGTCAAGATAGGTACTCTATTTTGTAGATGAGAAAACCGAGGCTCAGAGAGGTAGAGTGACTTCCCAAGGTCACACAGCTGGGGAAGTCACTCTACCTCTACTTCTAATGGCTGAGATGAGCTTGGAACCCAGGTTTTAGTCTAGAGGTTTGTCTTCATGACACCAGCTCAGAGAGGTTAAGTAATTACCCTAAGGCCACACAGCTTCCAAGTTTAGCTGCTGAATTTTGAACCCAGATATTAAGTGACAAAGCGAAACGGTCCTCTCCTAAGCCTCGCTGATTCCACTGGGTCAGGAGGGCAAGTTCCCTGAGGGAGTGAAGAAGGCAGGCTTTTCTGGAGGATTTCAGGAGACACTTATGCAAGGGTCCTGGGTTCTGACGTTGCTGAGAAGTCAAGCAACTTCCCCAACCTCACTTCACTAAATCATCTCTCCAAGATGCTCAGAAACTTAATCCTCAGGCTTGACATTGCAACAGGTTGTTGGTTTTCTCCTCCTTGTCCCAAGGGTCAAGGACTTAACCCTCAAGAGGGAGCCCAGGGATCCTGAGTCCCACCTGCACATCCCCCCAGGGAGAAGGGGAGGTGATGAGAAACTTCCAGCAGGCTTGTTTGCTGTCTGCCCTTCTCTACGCCCACCTTCTCCATGCTGCTCAGTGCTGTGGGAGATGGCCTGGAATGGATCCTGCAGGTTCCACTGTGCCCTCTGGCTTCCAGTTTGGTTTGGCCAAAGGGGATCCCCAAAATGAGATTGCAGGGAGGGAAGCATGTTGGGCTGGAACATTTATTCCACCAGTGCGTCCCTGCAGGGTTGCCTTGGGCTGATCACATGCCTGACAGGCCCCAGCTCCCATCAGACACAGCCTGCATCCCTTTTGATGGGTCCAGAGGCCATGCCCTCCCCTCCCTCTTCAGTACTAGACACGTCCTGCTCCTTGCTGTGAGTAGCCCTGAGCACCGTGCTCTCCCACACCCTGCACACATATTGGTAAACTTTCCCCTTCATCAAACTCTCCTCAATTTCCTCAATTTGAATTGAGGCCAGAGCCAGGCTGATACAAGGGGCATTGCCCTCGCGAACCATTTTCTGACTACACTGACTTTTAATTTTTCAGATGCTGCACTAAGCATCCCCATCTTATAAGCTCAGGACGTGCTATTTCTTTCGGGCTCTACTGGGCATGGCCAGGCAGTTGGTGCTTCAGTGGTTCCTCCAGTGGTTCAGGAACCAGGATGGATTCAGGTCACTCAGTTCCTCCAATGACCCAAGCCACTTTGTGCCACTGAGTTCAAAGTGTACTAGGATTTGCAAGAAGGGATCTTTCTAGACCGGGAAGCTGCAAGACCTCAGGCACAGCCCTGTGCTGGGAAGTCTCTGTGACACTCTTCCTTAAGTCATCTGTTTCCTGAAATATCTCTGCACCATGTTAGAGGCAACGAGGAGTAATAGTTAAGAAGACAAATTTTGCAGCCAGAGAGACTTGAGTCCAGCTCTGCCTCTCACTGTGTGACATAGGACAAGTCCCTGACCTCAGCCTCCTCAGCATGGAAAATAGGAGGAAGAGTAGAACCCACCTTGGAGGCTGGTGGTAGGGATTTCATTACAATAATTCATAGTGCATAGCAAGCCCTAAGCAATTAGCAGCTGTTGCTGATTTTTTTTTTTTTTTTTTTTTTTTTTGAGATAGGGTCTCACTCTCATGACTCAGGCTGGAGGGCAGTGGTGTGATCACAGCTCACTGCAGCCTCAACCTCCTGGGCTCAAGGGGTCCTCTTGCCTCAGCCTCCAAGGTAGCTGGGGCTACAGACACACACCACAATGCCAGCTAATTTTTTTGTATTTTTAGTAGAGACAGGGTTTTGCCATGTTGCCCAGGCTGATCTCGAACTTCTGGGCTCAGGCGATCCCCACTACCTTAGCCTCCCAAAGTTGCTTATTTATTTAAGTGAGGATAAGAACAAGTGCTTAGGAGTGCTCACCACAGCCAGGCACTGTGTGATGCGCTGTCTGCTTATTAACACGTTTAATCATCACAGCACACCTATGTGGGAACCACTATCATCGCTATCCCCATTTTGCAGGTAAGAAAAATGAGGCACAGAGAGGTTAAGTGTCTTGCCCAAGGTGACACAGCTCTTAAGAGGCAGAGCTGGGATTACAAACCCAGGCAGATGACTCCAAAATGCATGCTTTCATCCACTCCATGAACCTGGGATTTGGGGGCTCTTCCGGATTACATCCACTCAGCCTGAATCCCACCAGTTCAAGTACTGCCTGTTACTGTTGGGTGTCCCCTTCTTGGGAATATATGAAATACAGTTAGGTTTGAGGTTCTTTGAGGGTAGGACTCCTGACTCACATTTATCCAGTCACCCCATTTTCCCAAGCTCAAAATTAAGCCATTTGCAATCAAACGGATAACTCTTTTTTTCCTAATCAGTCAAGGTGTTTTCAAGAAAGTGTTTCCAAAGCACCAAAGCTAAGGCACATTGCAATGTACATAAGTTGCTGTTGTTGAAGACAGGAAAATCCACCCAAATCTGGAGCTGTCCTGGGGAATGGAGATCTTGGCTGGGTACACACATGCATGCTGGGCACAGAGCAGGTGCACTGGTTATGAGCCATGTGTCCCCCTCAACCACCAGTTCTGTGCCCTGGAGGCTGGCCCGATGGACTGCATCACCCATGGCTCCCTTACCTGTCCTTCACCTTCTGGCTGGGGTCAGCCCATGGGAGGCGCCAACAGGTGATTGCAGCAGGAGGGGTAAGAAGAGGCAGTTAGAGTCCCCCCAGGCCCAGCCAGGGCTCTGCTGGTGGCTGCGTCTCTCTGTCTGCAGGTCCTCTCTAAGTAGCCCAGTAACCTCACTCCCTCTCCCTGCATCTGGGTTCCTTTCCTGTGGCTGCTGTAACAAATGACCACACATATTGAAAACAATGCAAATTTATTTTCTCACAGCCATGGAGGCTAGAAGCCTGAAATCAGTATGGCTGCGTTAAAGTTGAGGTTATCAGCAGGGCCCCTTTGACGGCTCTAGGGGAGAACCCACCCCATTCTCCCTTCCAATTTCAGGGGGCTGCCAACTTTCCTTGGCTTGTGGCCGCATTACACCAGTCTTCAAGGCTGACACCCTTAAGTTTCTCTGCATTCCATCTCCACAGTGCTTTCCTCTTTTTTTCTTTTTTTTTTTTTTTTTTTTTTGAGACAGGGTGTCACTCTGTTGCCCAGGCTGGAGTGCAATGGTACAATCTCAGCTCACTGCATCCTCCACATCCCAGGTTCTAGTAATCCTCCCACCTCAGCCTCCCAAGTAGCTGGGACTACAGGTGTGTTTCACCACACCTGGCTAATTTTTGTATTGTTTGTAGAGACTGGGTTTTACCATGTTGGCCAGGCTGGCCTCGAACTCCTGACCTCAAGCTATCTGCCCACCTTGGCCTCCCAAAGTGCTGGGATTACAAGCATGAGCAACCACACCTGGCTCCATCTCCTTCGTGTGTCAAATCTCCCTCTGCCTCCCCCTGTAAGGGTACATGTGATGGCATTTAGGGATAATCTCTCATCCCAAGAGCCTTAACTTCATCACATCTGCAAAGACCTTCCCCCTTTTTTTGAGGGAGTGCATATTTTGCAAGGGGCCATTTCTCAGCCTACCGTGACTCCCACTGTTGCAGGTTCCTGGTGCCCTATGACCTCTTGGCATTTCCTTATCCTGGCCCCACCTTCATAGAAGTAGCTGCAAAACCTCAGTGGCCTCTTCCTTGCATGGGACCCTCATGAGCTCAGTTTCCCTGCCCAGCCAGACAGCTCCTTCTTGCTGTCTGTATTGAGGCGCCTCTGCCTTAACTTCCTCCTGGTTCAAATCTATATATTTATTTATGCAGAAATATTTATTGACCAACTACAGCTGGGCGCTCTGTTGAGCAGGGTTCTTCCAGTAAAAAGGCCGAATTCTGTTTCCCCACAGGGGCAAAATCAGGAATAAGCTCCATCCATTGTGTACCAGGCCAGCTTGGGCACATGTCTCTCGCTGTTGTCAAAGTCCCAGCTCTCCTAATTCAGCCTCCTAAGGATTTTTCGCCTTGCTTCTAAGGCTCCGCACGGGCTTATCCACGATCCTTTGGCGTCCCCTGCTGGTAGCTATATAGAATTGTAGGCAGTTTTTCTAATACCCTCACAAAGATAGCTGAGTTAAGATGCCTCTCGCCTAATAAGAAAAAGAGGAAAGGAGATGAGAAGTGTGGACTGGCAATTACAAAGAATACTAGGAGGCAAAAATGTAACGCCAGAAGAGGCATAGACTCCAGCTATTCAATGCATGGCATAGTGGATACAATGCAGATTCTGAATCTCTGTTCACTGCTTCCTGGCTGAGTGAGCCCAGGTAAGTCACTTCACCTCTCTGTGCTTGAATTTCTTCATCTGTCATAATTCTACCTACATTACTGGGTTGCTGTGAGGTTGAAATGAGCTAGTCTGTTTTAACCAGTACCTGGCACAACAAAATACAATTTTGTTATTACTGCCATTGGCATTGTGCTAAGCAGCATAAATATATTCTCTCTAATCCTCACCACGACCCTGGAAGAAGGCATTACTGGTCCTGCTTTGCAAATGAGGAATGAGGTTCAGAGAGGGTGACTGACTTACCCAGGGTCACACAGCATGAAGTGTCAGAGATGGGATTTGGACTCGGGTCTCTCTACCTCCTATGTTTCTGCTCTCTCCAGGGCTCCATGTCATCATCAAGGATGAGTTACTTCATGGCTGTGACTTTCCAGGGCTCCCCTCAGCAGTAGAATGGAAGAGGACAACTGGAGAGATGGTGACGCTGCTTACTTCAAGAAAAAAGCCAAGAGGGGTAGCAGGCAGGCACAGCCCGTGGTTGAAGAGGAGGACTTTCCACTCATTTCAAAGCAGAAACTAGACTTGGACACGACCTTGGAGAAGCATAGCCCCTTCTCCTCCAAGATGGTGCCTATGAAGGTGAAGAACTTGTCCCATAATGAGTATATCAGTCATTGTGATGGCAACAATGATGATAATGATGAATTATAGGAGTATGCCTTTTTTTTTTTTTTTGAGACCGAGTTTTATTCTTGTCACCCAGGCTGGAGTGCAGTGATGCGATCTCGGCTCACATCAACCTCCACCTCCCAGGTTCAAGCCATTCTCATGCCTCAGCCTCCCAGGTATCTACAGCCATGTGCCAACACATCTGGCTAATTTTTGTATTTTTAGTAGAGACAGGATTTCGCCGTGTTGGCCAGGTTGGTCTCAAACTCCTGGCCTCAGGTGATCTGCCTGCCTCAGCCTCCCAAAGTGCTGGGATTACAGGAGTGAGCCACCATGCCCAGCTTGAGTGTGCCTTTTAATGTCAGTCTTTCTGACTAGACTATAAGCCTCCTAAGGACAAGGAACATGTCTGTCCTGACCACTGCTATATTCTCAGTTCCTGGAACAGGGTCTGGCACGGAGCAGGTGCTCAGGAACTATGTGAATAATAAGTGAGTGAATGAATGATCATGTCTGCCTCCCTGAAGAGAGCTCCCTGTCTAGTTGAACCATAATCAAATTTAGTGATGGGGCTGGTGTCGTGGCTGACATCTCTAATGCCAGAACTTTGGGAAGCCGAGTTGGGTGGATCATTTGAGCCCAGGAGTTTGAGACCAGCCAGGGCAACCTGTAGAAACCCCATCTCTACAAAACTTGTTTTAAAAATCAGCTGAGTGTGGTGGAGTGCACCTGTGGTCCCCGCTACTTGGGATGCTGAGGTGGGAGAATCACCTGAGCCCAGGAAGTCGAGGCTACAGTGAGCCGTGATTGTGCCACTGCACTCCAGCCTGGGTGAGAGAATTAGACCCTGACTCAAAAAAAAAAAAAAAAGAGCTCTCTTTCATTTATTTTTTTTCTGGCAAACCATTCCTTCAACTGAACTCTCTTTTTAAGCCAGACCTTGATGATTCTCTGTATGTGTGAAGGAGGTATCAGCCCACAGCACCACTGCAAAATTTAAAAAGGAAAGACAATGATTCTGATTTTAATTCCATCCCATCCCCAGCACACTGCCTGGGTCCCCACTGAGCATCATAGCCAGCCCCAATTAAAGCGGCACTGGAATTTGCAGCCTCCAGAGCCTGGGATAGGACCCTCGTTGGCTTGTCTTCTCAGAGTGAATTTAGCTTTTTCCCAGCCGTAGTCTGTTTGGTGAATGATTTGTTGTTTCTGCTCCTTCCAGGTGAATATTTCTGTTTCACTGCCAAGAGAAGGAGGGGCCCCCACATCTCTAATGTTGGGCCCCCAGCAGGGCCCACCAGGGCCAAGGCTCAGCTGCCACCTGCCACAGGTGAACTGCCTGGTCTCCATGCAGATGTGGCTGAAGCTAGTGCACACCTGGTCTCCTGTTTCCAATCATCCTGGCCACTTGGATTCTCCCTTGAGGCTCCTCTGCAGTTGCCTGGGAATAGGAGGCTGCCCTTCAGAGGGGCTTTTGGGGTGGGTTGTGAAATGCTGGGCTACATTGGTGACACTCAACATAGCAGATGGTGACACCCCAGGGCAACCATCTCTAGCACCCCCCTCCACTGGGTCCACTTCCTGCCCCCTAGGGGTGGTCACACGCAGGGAGGAGCAAAGGGAGCCAAACTTGAACCTGGCCTTGGTCTCTACAATGTGATCTTGGGCAAGTGCTTCCTCCTTTCTGGGCCTCAGTTTCCCTGTATGTCAGCAGATGAGAAGAAGGTTGCCCCAGGACCTACGTATGCCAAAAAAAAAAAATTAACTAAAATGTACCAACTCTGAGCCTTTCTACATACTAACAACATTTTTAAAAACCCATAGATTACTTGTTAATGACAAAAAGAAAAATTTTACAAAAGAGGAACCTGGCAGGCACCCCCTTAACCAAGCCATCAAAGTTACCATCATCAGGCCGGGCGCGGTTGCTCACGCCTGTAATCCTAGCACTTTGGGAGGCCAAGGTGGATGGATCATGAGGTCGAGAGATCGAGACCATCGTGGCCAATATGGTGAAACCTCATCTCTACTAAAAATACAAAAATTAGCTGGGCGTGGTGGCGCATGCCTGTAGTCCCAGCTACTCAGGAGGCTGAGGCAGGAGAATCGCTTGAACCTGGGAGGTGGAGGTTGCAGTGAGATTGCGCCACTGTACTCCAGCCTGGCGACAGAGCGAGACTATGTCTCAGAAAAATAAAATAAAAAATAAAGTCACCATCATCAGTTTTGAGGCAAATTGATGTCACAAGCCTCTCAATCTGGTGCACTGTAAAGGATACAGCACCATGTGAGCCTGCAGAATTGTTGCCAAAAAAGCAAGGTGCAGCCGTGTGCTTTCTTGATGACTTGGAATATACTTTGGCTATTAATACACATCTATAAATACAGAATTACTGAACCCTTCTTTTTTCATTTTCACAATGTCTTTTTAGAGATATCTAATAGACCAGGTGTGGTGGCTTACATTTGTAATCCCACCATTTGGGAGACCAAGGTGGGCAGATCACTTGAGGTCAGGAGTTCAAGACCAGCCTGGCCAATATGGTGAAACCCCACCTCTACTAAAAATGCAAAAATTACCTGTGTGTGGTGGCGCGCACCTGTAATCCCAGCTACTCGGGAAGCTGGGGCAGGAGAATCGCTTGAACCCAGGAGGTGGAGGCTGCAGTGAGCTGAGGTCACATCACTGCACTCCAGCCTGGGCAACAACAACAAAAGAAATATTTAATAAACTATTTTGGAACAGTTTAAGTTCACAGAAGAGTTGTGAAAACCTTACAGAGTTCCCGAATTCCCTGTACCCAGATTTCCTTATTGTCAGCATTGCTCTGGAATGTTTGTCCCAATTAATGAACCAATACTGATACATGACTATTCATTCAGGTCTATGCTCTATTCAGATATTTGTTTGTTTGTATCTAATGTCCTCTTTCTGTCCCAGCATCCCATATTCGGTTTATTCCTTAGGCTCTACTTGGCTGTGACAGTTTCTCAGACTTCTCTTGTTTTCAATGGCCTTGACAGTTTTGAGGGGCACTGCCCAGGGATTTTGAAGGATGTCCTTCAGCAGGGGTTGGTCTGATGTTTTCTCATAATTAGACTTTGGTTATGGTTCCCCGGGGGGATGACCACAGAGGTGAATGGTCATTTCCTATCAAGCATACATACATCAACATGACTTATCACTGTTGATCTTGACCTTGACCACCTGGCTAAGGTCATGTTTCTCAGATTTCTCCACCATAAAGCTACTCTTCTCCCTCCTTTTCTGTAGTGTAGTCTCTGGAAGTCATGATGCACAGCCCACACATAAGGCTGGGAAGTGATGTTCCTTCTTCTTCTTTTTTTTTTTTTTTTTTTGAGAGAGGGTCTCACTCTATTGCCCAGGCTGGAGTATAGGGGTGAGACCATCGCTCACTGCAGCCTCAACCTCCTGGGCTCAAGCAATCCTCCCACCTCAGCCCCACAAGTAGCTGGGACTACAGGTGCACACCGCCACACTTGGCTAATTTTCCATTTTTTGTAGAGATGGGATCTTGCCATGTTGCCCCGGCTGGTCTCCTGGGCCCAAGCAATCCTCCCGCCTTGGCATCCCAGAGAGCTAGGATTACAAGCTGTGAGCCACCATGCCCAGCCTTGAGGGACAAGTATTATCATAAATGATTTGAAATTCTCAATTTATCTATCCTCCATTTTATTTTCTATTACTTATTTATGTCACTGGACTTATGAATATTTATTTTATACTTTGGGTTATAATCCAATACTACTTTATTTATTTATTTATTTATTTTGAGACGGAGTTTCGCTCTTTCGCTCAGGCTAGAGTACAGTGGTGCGATCTCGGCTCACTGCAACCTCCACCTCCCAGGTTCAAGCAATTCTCCTGCCTTAGCCTCCCGAGTAGCTGGGATTACAGGCGCCCGCTACCATGCCTGGCTAATTTTTATATTTTTAGTAGAGACGGTGTTTCACCATGTTGGCCAGGCTGCTCTCAAACTCCCGACTTCAGGTGATTGGCCCGTCTCGGCCTCCCAAAGGGCTGGGATTACAGGCTTGAGCCACAGTGCCCGGCCATATTATTTATTTTGTTACTCAAAATATTCCAGCCTTGGACACTGGAAGCCCTTTCAGTTGGCTCTTGTGTCCCATTAGGGAAAAAATTTTGTTTTGAGCTCGTTCTTACTTTTTGGCATTACAAGATACTCCAGGTTCACCTTGTGTATTCCCTGCCCCAGCCCTAGAAATAGCCATTACTCCAAATAGCCCTGGTCCTTTTTATTAAAGAATGGATTTGAAATCGAGGCTTGAGCATTGCTTCATTCTTTTCTTAACATCTACATGATATTTTATCCATTGTCTCATCGGTTCTCTGTTGATGGGTATTTCGGCTGTTGCCCATCCTTGGTGATTGCAAACAATGTGCAATAAATATTAATGTGTCCGCATAGCTATATGATACATTTCTACAAGTCCTCCCCAGTGCCTCTGAACCATGCCCAGAAGGGACAGAAGGATTGGGGCAAGAGAGCAACAG